>NC_000022.11:18483513-18659564 GCF_000001405.40 Homo sapiens | reverse complement strand
CGCGGAATTCATCTATTTCATCTGGGTTATCCAATTTATGAGCACACAATTATTTATAGTAATCTTTTATAATCCTTTCTAGGCTGGGAATGGTGGGTCATGCCTGTAATCCAACAATTTGGGAGGCCGAGGTGGGAAAATTCCTTGAGGCCAGGAGTTCAAGATCAGCCTGGATAACATGGCAAGATCCTGTCTCTTAAAAAAAAAAAAAAAAAGAGCTGGCATAGTGGCGAGCCCAGGAATTCAAGGCTGCAGTGAGCCGATTGTGCCACTGATTGTGGTTGCATCTGATTGTTGCCAGGGCAATGGAGCTAGACCTTGTCTCTAAAACATAGACAGGCAGACAGACAGACAGACAGACAGACAGAAATATATAAAGATATTCTCAAATACATTTCTGTTTTAAGTAATTTAGATTGTTTCCCTTTTCCTTAGTCTTGTCAGTTTTATTAATCTTTTTGAAGAACCAACTTTTGGTTTTGTTTTTTATTGTTTTTCTATTCTCTTTTCCATTTATCTCTGCCCTGATCTCTATTGTTTCCTTCCTTCTGCTAACTTTGGGTTTAGTTTTATTCTTCTTTTTCTAGTTTCTTAATGTGTAAACTTATGTTGTTGAATTGAGGTGTTTCTTTTTTTAATGTGTTTATAGCTATAAATTTCCTCCTTAGCACTCCTTTCACCACAACTCATAAGTTGTGTTTTTTTGTTGTTTCTTTGTTTTTTGAGACAGAGTCTCATTCTGTCACCCAGGCTGGAGTGCAGTGGTGTTAGCTCAGTGGTGCAACCTCTGCCTCCTGGGTTCAAGAAATTCTCATGCCTCAGCCTGCTGGGTAGCTGGGACTACAGGCACGTACCACCACTCCCAGCTAATTTTTGTGTTTTTAGTAGAGACAGGGTTTCGCCATGTTGGCCTGGCTGATCTTGAACTCCTGACTTCTAGCTATCCACCTCCCTCAGTCTCCCAAAGTGCTGGGATTACAGGTGTGAGCCACCACAACTGGCCACAACCCATAAGTTTGGATATAGTGTGCTTTCATTTTCATTTGTCTTTAAGAATTTTATAATTTCTTTGTGATTTCTTTGATCCATTGGTTGTTTGAGAGTGTGTTGTTTAAATTCTACTAATTTGTGAACTTTTTAAAATCTTCTGTTATTGATTTCTAACTTTATCCTGTTGTGGTCAGAGAAGACACTTTGTATGATGTCTATCATTTTAAATCTACTGAGCTTTTTTCCTTTTTTGGGACAGGGTCTCATTCTGTCAGTGGTACAATGGTACATTTTCTTTGTCATGAAGTACAGGCTGGAGTACAGTGGTACAATCTCTGCTCACTACAGCTTCAACCTCCTGGGCTCCTAAGCAATTCTCACGCTTCAGCCTCCCAAGAAGCTGGGATCACAGGCACACACCACCACGCCCAGCTAATTTTTGTATTTTTAGTAGAGATGGGGTTTCACCATGTTGGCCAGGCTGATGTCAAGCTCCTGGCTTCAAGCAATCCACCCGCCTCAGCCTCCCAAATTACTCTGTGATTACAGATGTGAGCCACTGCACCCAGCCCCTATTGAGAATTAATTTGTGATGTGTTATGTGGTCTATCCTGAAAATGTCCCATGTATACTTGAGAAGTATGTGTATTATGTTGTTGGGTAGAATATCCTGTGTATGTCTGTTAGGTCTAGTTGTTTTTTCAGGTGTTGTTCAAGTGCTGTATTTCCTTACTTATGTCTGGTCTGGTTGTTTTATTCATTTGTGAAATGAAGACAAGGGACAAAATCCTAAGACATCCCCCTTGAAAGGGAAGGACCACCCACAGAAAAGGACTGAGAGACCCCCAGAATCTATAGCTTAGCTAATTGATGGTCTTTCTCTCCTGAAGTTAGTAAAGAGTGGAAAAGATGACTCCTTCTTCAAACATGAAGAAAGCAATCTAAGTCTTCAAAGAACAGGAAGCATGAGAAAATATGACACCACCAAAGAAACAAAATGAAACTCCAGTGGCTGACTCCAAAGACATGAAGATCTACAAATTGCCTGACAAAGAATTCAAATAATCATCTTAGGGTGACATCAGCAAGATGGCAGAACAGGAGGCCCTCCACTCACCTCTCCCCACACAAACAATGATCTGGCAGCCATTCATGGACAAAACTGCCTTTGCAAGAGTTTTAATATCCAGGCAGGAGGTGGCAAAACTCTAGCAAAGCCCAAAACCAAGGAGAGCTGCTTTGAGAAGGCAGGTCCACACACCAGTGACAGGTTCCCAGTTGCAGACTGAAAGCAGCTTTGTCCTCCTATGGACTTGGGTCCAGCTCCACTAGATCATGGTCTTGCAACTAGCCCCATCCACTAAGCACCTAGGAGGAACCATGACCATTTATGCCCCCAGTAACAGGCCTTCTAACCATGGTCCTGACTGCAGAAACTAAAGCAGCCCTGACCTGGCTTCAGCCCCACTCTACCACAGTCAGTCGTGCCTGCCCAGGAATTCAGTGATGCCTTTACATGCCCTTGGTAACAGGCCTGCTGATCTCAGTCTCAGCTATGGACACTAAAGTAGCCCTGTGACTCCATTCCAGTCTTGCTTTGCCACAGTCTGGGCACAGTCCAGCCCATCCTGGGACCTGGTGAAAGACATACCATCCATTCTCCTAATAAGAGGACCACCAATCTTGAACCCAAATGTGGTCACCAAAGCTGTCCTGTGACTTGGCTCTAGCCCTGCTCTACTGTGGTCTGGAGGCAGTCCTGTCTTCCCATGGACCTACCTAGTAAGCCAGCAGGAGCTCAATCTGGGACCCACAGGGAGCTATACCAGTCCATGCCCTTGGTAATAGGCCTGATATCTGAAGACTTGACTGTAGAACTAGAAGTGGCCCCATGACCTGGCTCCAGTCCTGTTCAATCAGGGTATCAGAGGCAGTCCAGTTCTCCTGAGGATCCAGCAGAAACTGCATCACCAACCTATGCCTTGATAGCGGCCTGCCAATCAGAGATTCAGCTGCAGACCAGGCAGCAGCCATGTGATATGGCTCCAGGCCCACTTGACTGTGATCCAGTCAAGGGATCCAGCAGGAAAAGGTTTGTACCTGCTGAAACCAATCTATAAAGACAGAAAGAGATTGGGCATGGTGGCTCACAACTGTAATCCCAGCACTTTGGGAGGCCAAGGCGGGCAGACCACTTGAGGCCAGGAGTTTGAGACCAGCCTGGACAACACGGTGAAACTCTGTCTCTACAAAAAATACAAAAAAATTGGCCAGGCGTGGTGGCACATGCCTGTGATCCCAGCTGCTTGGGAGGCTGAGGCAGGAGAATCATTTGAACCTGGGAGGTGGAGGTTACAGTGAGCTGAGATCACGCCACTGCACTCCAGCTGGGTGACAGAGCAAGACTCTGTCTCAAAAAAAAAAAAAAAAGAAAAGAAGAGGTATTTGCTTCTTCATAGACATTAATGAAAGTTTGTAGATCATGAAGAATCAGCAAATATGACACTACCAAAATAAACTCATAAATCTCCAGTAATCAACCCCCCAAAAATAGAGATCTACAAATTGCCTGACAATTCAAAATAATTAAGATAGCTCAGTGAAATTTACTAGAATGTATATATCAACTCAATAATATCAAGAAAATAGTAGATGAACAAAACTAAAAGTTCAATAAAGATACAGAAATAATAAGAACCAAACAGAAATTCTAGAACTGAAGAATACAATGAATAAAATGAAAATGCAAGCTGGGTGCCGTGGCGGACGCCTGTAATCCCAGCACTTTGGGAGGCCGAGGCAGGCAGATCACTTGATGGCAAGAGTTCAAGACCAGCCTGGCCAACATGCCAAAACCCCATCTGTATTAAAAATACAAAAATTAGCCAGGCATGGTGGCATATGCCTGTAATCCTAGCTACTAGGGAGGCTGAGGCAGGAGAATCGCTTGAACCGGGAGGTGGAAGTTGGAGTGAGCCAAGATGGCACCACTGCATTCAAGCCTGGGTGACACAGACTCTGTCTCAAAAATATATAAAAATAAATAAATGAATGAAATGAAAATGCAATAGAGAATTTCAATTGCAGACTTGATCAAACAGAAGAAAGAATCTGTGAAATTAAAGACAGGACATTTGAAATATCCCGTCAGAAGACCAGAAAGAAAAAAAAGTTTATAAAGTAAAAACCTTTGGGATTTATAGGACACCACCATGAAGTGGGTCAAACATATTATGGACTTTCTAGAAGTAAAAAAGATAGAAAAGGCCTGAAAGTATATTTGAAGACATAATGGGTAAAAACTTTCCAAATTCTTAGAGGCAAGTGGGCTTCCAGACACATGAAGTTCAGAGGCCCCAAAAAAGGCCAGCCCAAAGACCATAATACCAAGATGTATTATAATTAAAATATCAAAAGTCAAAGACAGAGACTTTCAAAAGCAGCAAGAAGAAAGGAATTCATCACATACAAGGAAACTTCAATAAGGCTATCAGTGGATTTCTCAGCAGCAACCTTATAAGCCAGGAGAGAATAGGATGCTATATTCAATGTATTGGAAGAAAAAAACTGCCAATCAGGAAGACCACAACTTGTAAAGCTGTCCTTCAGAAATGAAAAAGAGATGATAAGGTCTTTCCCAGACTCCCACCAAAAAAATTCTAAGGGAGTTCATCACCACTGCACCTGCCTTATAAGGCAGTTTTTCAAGTTGAAATAAAAGGATTCTGATTAGCAACATTAAAACATTAAGATATTAAGTTCACAGGTAGGCCGGGCGCAGTGGCTCACGCCTGTAATCCCAGCACTTTGGGAGGCCAAGGCGGGTGGATCACAAGGTCAGAAGAGGGGGATCATGCTGGCTAACACGGTGAAACCCCGTCTCTACTAAAAATACAAAAAATTAGCCAGGCGTGGTGGCGGGTGCCTGTAGTCCCAGCTACTCGGGAGGCCGAGGCAGGAGAATGACTTGAACCCGGGAGGCAGAGCTTGCAGCGAGCCGAGATCATGGACACTGCCCTCCAGCCTGGGCGACAGAGCGAGACTCTGTCTCAAAAAAAAAAGTTCACAGGGAAAGGTAAGTATATAGTCACATTCATAACACTGTAATATTGCAGTGGTGGTGTGTAAATCACTTTTCACTGTAGTATAAAAGTTAAAATGTAAAAGTATTAGGCGGCCCGGGAGCGGGGCAGCTGCTGCGGGGAGGCGGGGAGGCGGGGGGCCTGGCCGGACACCCCTGCGCCCCCTCCCCGCACCCGGGCGGAGGGCGGCCTCTTCCCCCTCTCCCTCCCCCACCACCCCCGGCAGCCGCCTCCCCCAGGACGCAGGAGGCGGGCGGAGGCCGGGTCCGCGCAGCGGGCGACTTGCGGCATGGGCCGGGTCGAGGTGGGGGGGCGGTTTCGGGGGCTGGGAAGCTGGGGTGCCGGGGACAGGAGGGTGGGGGAGCTGGGGAAAGGAGGGCTGGGGGGCCGGGGACAGGAGGGCCATGCAGGCAGTGGCAAGCGGGCGGCGAGGGCTCCGTGGGGCAGGTGGACGGGGATCAGCGCCTGGGGCTGCTCCGTTCCCCAGGCGGGTGTCGTGGCTCTGGCCTCCATGCAACTCCAGGTCTGCGCGCCCCGCGCTGCTGGAGCCCCAGTCAAAAGTCTATTTAAAAAGCAGAGAGAGGATGCTTCCCTCTGAGTGGAGCGATGAAGACCTGATCCCTGGGCCATTTGGGAACACTAGCTGCCTTTCATCACAGTCAACCTGGACTCAGAGAATGTCAAGAGCTTGTTGGTTGGGTCAAGAATGAATCTAGGCATGACGTCATAGTTTATAGTCATCCTTTTAAACCTGCAAAGAAGCATTTGCAGGTTTAAAGTTATTTCACGGGTACTGCTTGCCAATCTTTGGAGGATGTGAAGCCTGCAGAGAAATAAAGTGTCGCCCCTCTGCGCGTCGCTCCCCATCTGCCAGAATGTTTCTCATGAATGCTCCTCCAGTGGTTGCTCTCCAGCGCAAATGGGTGGCCTCTGTCCCACCAGGGAGCTTTAGGTTCCCCGGGTGCTTCTCGGAGGCTGACAAGGGCGTGGAGAGCATGTCGGTGAGCACCCGGGTGCAGATGCTCATCAGCACGCTGCAGAGCGACAGGGCTGCTAGGGGCACCAGCGATGAGCGCACTGCGCAGAGGGGGCAGAGGGATGCCACGACGCCAGGCCTGCTGCCAAGCCCACCATGCACAAGGAGCTGCCTGCGTTGGCTGCCTGTGGTCTTGTTGCTGACTTTGACCCCGTGGGGGAGGAGGAAACTGCAGACTTTGGCCCATTGGTGCTAGATTCAGACAGTGACGATTCCGTGGACCGGGACATTGAGGAGGCCATCCAGGAGTACCTGAAGGTAAAGAGTGGAGCCGCACAGCCCGGGGCCAGCGGGGCCCAGCCATGCACAGCCTTCCAGGGCTGCAGGCGGAGGCAGTAGATGTAAGCCGGAACTGGCTCACAGCAGTGCCCAACTGCCCTGTGTTCCCCAAAACTTGTACCTGGCTCAGGTGGTGTGGCCCTGGCAGCCAGGTGGGATCCAGCAAGGACCAGGGCTCTGCCTCCCCAGTCAGCATGAGCAGAGCAGACTCCTTTGAGCAGAGCATCAGGGCAGAAATCGAACAGTTTCTGAATGAGAAAAGACAGCATGAGAACCAAAAATGTGATGGGTCAGTGGAGAAGAAACCAGACACACATGAAAATTCGGCGAAGTCACTCTCGAAATCCCACCAAGAGCCGGCTACAAAGGTGGTGCACCGGCAGGGCCTGATGGGCGTCCAGAAGGAGTTCGCCTTCTGCAGACCTCCCCCGGTTAGCAAAGACAAACGTGCAGCCCAGAAGCCTCAGGTCCAAGGTCACGACCACGCAGGAGAAGGAGGGCAGCACAAAGCCAGCAACCCCCACCGCCCTTCAGAAGCAGTACAGAATAAAAGTGGGATTAAAAGGAACGCCAGCACCGCAAGGAGGGGAAAGCGAGTCACGAGCGCCGTACAGGCGCCCGAGGCGTCCGACTCCAGCAGCGACGACGGCATTGAGGAGGCCATCCAGCTGTACCAGGTGCAGAAAACACGCAAGGAGGCCGACGGGGACCCGCCCCAGAGGGTCCAGCTCCAAGAGGAAAGAGCACCTGCCCCTCCCGCACACAGCACAAGCAGCGCCACAAAAAGTGCCTTGCCAGAGACCCACAGGAAAACACCCAGCAAGAAGAAGCCAGTGCCCACCAAGACCACGGACCCTGGTCCAGGGGATCTGGACGCTGACCATTCCCCCAAGATCCCAAAGGAAACCAAAGCTCCACCTCCAACGAGCCCGGCTTCCAGGAGCAAGTTTGTGGAATGGTCCTCTTGCCAGGCAGACACCTCCGCTGAGCTGATGTGTGTAGAAGCAGTCCTGGACATTTTCAAGACGATCCTGCCGGCCCTATGGAGGGCAGCGATGGGTCCCTGTCCGCAAGCCCACTCTTCTACTCCCCCAACGTGCCTTCCCGCTCTGATGGTGACAGTAGCTCCGTGGACAGCGACGACAGCATTGAGCAGGAAATCTGGACGTTTTTGGCCCTCAAGGTGCAGTCTAGAAGTTTGCTGGCCAGAGGTGAGAGCTGCCCTCAGGCTGCCCAGGGCCCACTTTCACCACCTGGCCTCAGCAGCCAGACCGGCAGCCCCAAGGCCCCTCTCTCTAAAACACTGGACCCACTCCTGGCTGCAAAAGGAAGCATAGAGGCGGCTGCCAAGTGAGGCCATCCACTCCCAAGAACATGCGGGTGGTGGGGAAAGAGGGTGGCCAGGATGCCGACCGCAGCCAGGGGAGAGCCGGGCCGGGCCATGAGGGGCGGGACCTTTCCATCCAGGGCACAGCCAGCGAGGCCCCGGGAGGAGAGGGCGCCGCTAGGGTGCCCGGTGACACTCGCACGTCACAGGGCCAGGGTAAGACAGACGAGGCAAGGCACCTAGACAAGAAGAAGAGCTCCGAAGACAAAAGCAGTTCCCTGGACAGTGACAAGGACCTGGACACAGCCATCAAGGACTTGTTAAGGTCCAAGTGAAAGCTCAAGAAGAGGTCCAGGGAGCCCAGGGCTGTGTGCAGGAAGAAGGTCAGGTTCAGCACCTCCCAGACGCACTTCCAGGAGCAGCTGGGCAGGCTCCTGAGAGAGTGGAAAAACAGGCACCTGCAGGTGCTGAAGAGCTGCCTAAGTCCAAGAGAGACAGCTGCGAGGGCTCCAGGAAGAAACCCCCCAGTGTCTTTGGCAGCAGGGCCGAGAGGACGAAGCCCCGGCCTTCCTGGTGAGGAGACCCGCTTCTGCCTCCGCCTCCGAAGAGAATCTATTCCCCAGAGAGTCCCAGGGCCCAGCTCCCAGCCCTGGCTCCTTGTCTGACAACAGCAGTTCAGTGGACAGCGACGATAGCATCGAACTGGAGATTAGGAAGTTTTTGGTGGAAAAGGCCAAGGAGTCGGTGAGCAGTTCAGAAGTTCAGGCAGAGGGCCCCACCGCTCTCGGGACAGGGGGCCCAGCCAGGCCAGAGGTACCTTGCAGGAAGGAGCCGGCCCCACTGCCTGGCATGTGCACACGGAGCCAGAGGGCCGGGGGGTCCCACATTTGGCTAAAGGGCATCGAGGCGCAGGGAGCGCAGGAGCACAGGGCGCAGCGTGCCTGCTCAGCCAGGGTGGGAAGGGGCTCCCCACTGATCCGGCGGAGGGGATCATGCGCCACCCAGGAGGACCAGCGGCAGTGTCTCCGCCAAGGTCTCTCAGTGAGCAAGAGAAATGTTTACGTTTACAAAGACCAGAGCCCACGAGGGGCTGAGCCTGCTGCCAAAAGTGCTTTTGGTCAGCGGCCCAGCTGTGCCACAGCGGGCACCGAGGCAGGAGGAGCCAGGGGGACCTTTCACGTGGACTGCAGGAACCGGAGCTTCCTGACCCCCAGCCCGGGAGCTGAGAGGGATGCTGGAGCCCAGGCCAACCGCGCCCCGCCCTGGAGTGACTTTGCCCACCACAGTCGGCTGCCCAGCCCATGGGCACTGCGCTCCAAAGGTAGAGATGCGGCGTGGAGGGGGCGGCATTGGGAGAGAGAGACAAGGGGTCCGAGGGCCCCGCCCGGGGCCTGCCCAGCCTGCCCCTTGCGGGCTTCTCCCCGCTGCTGTCCACCCAGCTCTTCCACTTTGGAAAGGGTGTCTCCTGGGGGGGCAGGGAGACCGGCCTCTTCAGCCCCTACCTGGGGCTGCCTCTGCAGGGCCTGTCCTTCTCGGCCTTCAGGGAGTCCCAGGCCAGGCCCAGCCCTGTCTTTGGAAGCCCACACTTGCTGGCGAAGAAGGACTGCGATCACCGGCCAAGCAGGAAGGTACAGACGGGGCTGAGTTTGCACAACAGGAAGAGCTCTGGCTCGGAGGAAAGGATTTTAGACCTGAGGTATCCACGAAGGGTCAATCAGTAGAGTTGACCAGGACCAGGACACCTTGGGCAGGGACACCAGTGACTTCAGCGACACCTCCGCAGAGGTGTTGCTGCTGCAGTGGCGGCAGCTCAGTAGTGAAGGTATAAGACCTCGAGCTGTGGGTTCGCGTCCTGGGTTCCATGCATTCGTGGAAAGCGGCATAGCCGACGTGTATCTGTGCCTGTGTGTGATGGTTCTGTGGTTGCAGGGAGGGGAAACAGTCTGTTATACATAGTCTTGTGTATATGTATACCAACACGAAACAATGCTTTTATTTAACAGATGTGTCCTGGTAAATATGATTTTTGTAGATTTTGTACATTATTTGAAGTGATGAAAAATGTTTTTGGAAAATACTGTTGGTCAATTTTGTAGGGTGTTCCTTAACTGCAGTTTTCTGTGTTCTGCATACAAGTCTTAGATTAGAAAACATTTGGTTTTTATCATCACAACCAGGTTTACAGGGACTCTGATGTTTTTTGGTTGGTTGCTGGTGAGAATGGCCAGCACTGGCTGCAGGGGTAGCCTTAGGAAGGCCGAGGTGCCCTCCCCAGGAATCGCTCACATGCCCCAAAGTGTCCGTCAGGAAGTTCCTGGGACAGCACTTTTTATACAGAGGACACCCCCCCACCACCGCCTGGCTTCATGGTCCTTGGAGGCCAGAGCACATCTGAAAACTACAGGAACGGAAAACCAAACTCCGCATGTTCTCACTCATAAGTGGGAGTTGAACAATCAGAACACTTGGACACAGGGCAGGGAATATCACACACTGAGGCCTGTTGGGGGATGGGGGCAAGGGGAGAGATAGTATTAGGAGAAGTACCTAATGTAAATGATGGGTTGATGGGTGCAGCAAACCACCATGGCACATGTATACCTAAGTGATAAACCTGCACTTTCTGCACGGCTACCCCAGAACTTAAAGTATAATTAAAAAAAAAAAAAAAAACAGAAAAAATAAGTAGAGATTAAACCAGTAATGAAAAATCTCCCAACAAAGAAAATCCCAGGACCAAATGGTTTTACTGGTCAATTTCAACAAACATTTAAAGAATTAATAACAATCCTTCTCAAACTCTTCCAAAAAAATTGAAGAAAAGGGAACACATTGAAACTCATTCTAAGAGGCCAGCATTATCCTGATATCAATGCCAGATAAGAACACTACAAAATAAGAAAACTATAGGTCAATATCCCTGGTTAACATAGATGCAAAAATCCTCAATGAAATACTAGTAAACCAAATTCAACAGTGCATTAAAAGAATTATTCACCATGAATCCAGTCTCTACCAAAAATCCAAAAAAAAAAAAAATTAGCTGAGCATGCTGGCGGGTGCCTGTGGTCCCAGCTACTAGGGAGGCTGAGGCAGGAGAATGGCGTGAACTTGGGAGGCGGAGCTTGTAGTGAGCCGAGATCGCGCCACTGCACTCAGGCCTGGATGACAGAGCGAGACTCCATCTCAAAAAAATAAATACATAATAAATAAATAAAAAACAAAAAAAGAATTATTCACCAGGATCAAGTGGGATTTATCTCTGGCATGCAAGGATGCTTTAACATACAAGAGTCACTAAATGTGATACACCACATCAACACAATAAACGATAAAAATCCTTTATTTTTATTATTAAAAAGCACTTGATAAAATTCAACATCCTTTCATGATTAAAAAAAACAACAAACTGAGCAAATTAGGTGCAGAAGGAATGTACCTCAACATAATGAAGACCACATGTAACATACTCAACAGTGAAAGACTGAACGTTTTTCCTCGAAGATGAAGAACAAGACAAGAATTCCTACTCTCACCATTTCTCCTCAAAATAGGACTGGAAGTCCTAGCCAGAACAATTAAGCAAGTAAAGAAATAAGAATGGAAGTAAAATGGTCTCCATAGATGACATATTTTTATGTATAGAAAACTGTAAAGACTTCACTAAAAGACTGTTAGAAGTAATAAATTCAATAAAGTAGCAAGATACAGAGTCAACATCCAAAAATCAGTTGCATTTCTATGCATAGATGGACTGGAGGGCATTATGTTAAGTAAAATAAGCCAGACACAGAAAGTGAAATATTGTACAATCTCACTTATGTGTGGAACCTAAAGACGTCAAACTCAGAAGAAGAGAACAGAATGGTGGTTGCTGGGAGCTGGGGAAGAGAAGGAAATGGGAAGTTGATGGTTAAAGTGTACAAATTTCAGTTATGCAAGATAAGTAAGTTCTGGAGAGCTATACAGCATAGTACCCACAGAAAATGTTACTATATTCTTAAATTGTTTAATTAAAAACTTTTATTATTATTATTTTTTTTTAGACAGATTTTCACTCTTGTTGCTCAGGCTGGAGTGCAATGGTGCTGTCTCGGCTCACTGCAACCTCCGCCTCCCAGGTTCAAGAGATTCTCCCACCTCAGCCTCCCAGTACTTTGCTCAGATTATAGGTACCCGCCACCACGCCCAGCTAATTTTTGTATTTATAGTAGAGATGGGGTTTTGCCATCTTAGCCAGGCTGCTCTCCAACTCCTGATCTCAGGTGATCCGCCTGCCTCAGCCTCCCAAAGTGCTGGGATTACAGGCGTGAGCCACCGCACCTGGCCATTAAAAACTTTTTTTTATACAATAATAATAATAAAGAGGCAGAAGGAAATTTTAAAAGGTGATGGATATGTTTATAGGCTTGATGATAATGGTTTTATGGTGTAAATTTATCAAGATGTGTACGTTAAATATGTACAGTTTTTATGTAAATCATTCCTCAACAAAATGGTTTAAAAAGTAATAAAGTAATTACTGATAAGGGGGGACTTACTTCTGGCATTTTGCTATACATTTTCTATATGCCTTACAGCATTTTTGTCCATTTCCTGCATGATCTCATTTGTATTTAGTTGATTTTTTGTAGCGAAGTGTTTTAATTCCCTTCTCATTTACTTTTTTATGTTATATAATGTTTTATTTGTGGTTACCATAGGGATTACACTTAACATTCTAAAGTTATAGCACTCTAACTTGAATTCATACCAGCTATATTTCAATAATATGCAAAAACTCTCCTCACAGTTTTGCCACTCCTCTTTCAGTTATCAATGTCACAAAATTACATTTTTGTACATTGTGTGTCCATAAACATAAACTAATAATTGTTTTTAATGCATTTGTCTATTAAATTATGTAGAAAGCAAAACATGGAGTTTTAAACCAAAGTTACGATAATACTAGATTTAATATTTTCCCATATATTTACTTTTACTGGCATCTTTATTTCTTCATATGGCTTTGAGTTACTATCTAGTGTTCTTTCTTTTCAACCTGCATGATTCTCTTTAAGATTTCTTGCAGGGCAGGTCTAATGGTAGCAAACTTCTCAACTTTGGTTTATTTGGGGATTTCCCAATTTCTTCCTCACTTTTGAAGGACAGTTTTGCTGGATATAGGATTCTTGGTTGAGAGGTAGTGGTTGTTTTTCTTTTAGCCCTTTACATATGTCATCCCATTGTCTTCTGTTCTCCAAAGTGTCTGATGAGAAATCTACTTATAATCCTATTATATATTCCTAGCATGTGACTAGTTGCTTCTCTCTTGGTGCTTTCAAGAGGCCCTACTGGCTAATTATAATGTCTCAGTATGAGTCTTTTTTTTTTTTTTCATCCTACTTGGAGTCCATTGAGTTTTCTGGATATTTATTTTCATGTCTTTCATCAAATTTGGGAAGTGTTCAGCTTTTTTTTTTTCTTTTTTGAGACAGAGTCTCGCTCTGTTGCCCAGGCTAGAGTACAGTGGTGTGATCTTGGCTCACTGCAACCTCTGCCTCCTGGATTCAAGCGATTCTTCTGCCTCAGCCTCCTGAGTAGCTGGGACTACAGGTACGTGCCACCACGCCCAGCTAATTTTTTTTTTTTTAAACGGAGTTTCACTCTTGTTGCCCAGGCTGGAGGGCAATGGCACAATCTCGGCTCACTGCAACATCTGCCTCCTGGGTTCAAGCGATTCTCTTGCCTCATCCTCCCAAGTAGCTGGGATTACAGGCATGCACCACCACACCTGGCTAATTTTGTGTTTTTAGTAGAGACGGGGTTTCACCATATTGGCCAGGCTGGTCTCGAACTCCTAACCTTGTGATCCACCCACCTTGGCCTCCCAAAGTGCTGGGATTACAGGTGTGAGTCACCGTGTTCAGCCTCAGCCATTATTTCTTCAAATGATCTCTCTGCCCCTTTCCCTCTCTTCTTTTGGGACTTCCACAATGTCTGCTTGCTATTCAACAATCATCTTTATTTCTGTTCCTCTGACTTGATCATTTCAAGTGTCCCATCTTCAAATTCACTGAATCTTTCTTCTGTTGCTCAAATCTGCTTTTGAATCCCTCTGGTGAACTTTTATTTCAATCACTACACTTTTAGTTCCAGAATTTATTTATTTTTTTTCTTTTTAGGTTTTCTATCTCTTTATTGATATTCCCATTTTGTTTACACATAATTTTACTGACTTTCTCCACATCTTCCTTCAGTTCTTTGACCATCTTTAAGAAAGTTGTTTTAAAGTATTTGTGTAGTAGGTTACCATCTGGTCTTTCTCTGGAACAGTTTCTGTTGTTGTTTTTCCTTTGAAATACCATATTTTCTTGTTTTTTGTATGCCTTGTGTTTTGTATTGAAAACTGGACACTTGAATATAATAATGCAGTAACTCTGGAGATGAGACTCTCCTCTTCCTCAGGGTTTGCTGTTTTGGGGTTTTGTTATGTTTTACATTGTTGTAGGTTGTCTCCATGCTGAGGATCAACCTGAGTTGTAAGCTTGAGGTCTTCTCAGGTCTGAAGCTGCTCCTTTCCCTGGGCACACACTCCTCTCTCCAAGGATGTGTGGTAACTTTAATTTCCTCTGGGTATGCCATTGCTTTTGAGTGTCCTAGTCTTTAATGTTTGGCTCCCAAAAAAGGAAAAGAGAACAATGAAGGGGAAGGGAAATGGGGTTCTGGCCTTTTCTATCTCCTAGAAGTTGCTTCAGTCTGGTAAGGGCTTGCAGCAGTGGAGTGGGGAGTTGTGAGCAATAATGGCTGCCAGCCTCTGTGTTTGCCCTTCCATAATCAAAAGTAGCAATCAACAACCAGAACGCAGATGCTAACACTTGGAGGACAGAGTGCTTATTGCCCATGATTGTTCCCACAAGCTTGGTACAAGCTGCTTCAGGAACACATGCAAAGCTTCTTGCCGTGAAGCTGGGGCATGGGGATTGGGTAGCCACTGCTGAGCTAAGAGCTGAAATTGACCAAAATTAAGTAAAAATTATAGTTTAAGCCTTCATTTGGAGGTTACAAGCCTCCTTTGATAGAGTCTAGAGTTCCAAAATAGTTATATCAGGCAGATTCTGCCAGTGTGATTATTTTCTAGGTGGGGAGATGAATTCCCAGTGCTTCCTACTCCACTTTCTTCCCAGAACCCTCTCTTGTAATAGTTTTTTACTTAAAATCTATTTTGTCTATACTTTTTTTTCCATATATTTACTTTTTATTGAATTTGTTAACGTTACAGAGTTCTTGCACTGCCAAACCATGCCTGAGAATTCAAACAAATGGTACAATGGACAGCCTCATCCACCCATCATACAGTATATTAAAACTTGATTCATCTATATTTTGATATTTTCACAATCTTTTAAAAAGTTATAATAAGAGCTGGAATTTAAATCTGCTGCAGGTCTTCAGATTTTGAGTACAGTATGCCTTTACATAACACCTCCACTTACTCATCTCTGTTCATTCTTCAGTAACATAAAACCCAACAACTTGTACAGCCATAACTTGTACAGCCATTCCTGATCTGTTTTGGTTACTTTTTGCACGGAATATTCTCCATTCTCTCATTTTTCAACCCATTTGTATTGGATTTCAAATGAGTCTCTTGTAGACAGCATATATAGTTGAATCCCGTTTTTTTAAATCCAATCAGCCGATTTATGTCTTTTTATTGGGAGTTTAACCTATGCACATTTAATGAAATTATTGATTAGGAAGGACTTACTACCACCATTTTGGTCATTGTTTTCTGTATGTTTAGAGCCTTTTTGTCCTTCTTTCCTCCCTTATTGTCTTCCTTTGTGTTATAGTTGATTTTTTGTAGTGCTATGCTCTGATTTCCTTCTCATTTCCTTTTGCATATATTCTGTAGGTATTTTCTTTGTGGTTACTATGGGAATTACATGGAACATCTTAAAGTTATCTTATTATTTTAAACAGATAACTTCAATCACATACAAAACCTCTACTCTTTACATCTTTGCCCCACTATTAAGTTACTGATGTCACAAATTAAACTTTATATACTTTGTATCCATTAACATAGATTTATAATTATTATGCTTTTGTCCTTTAAATTCCATTAAAGTATTAAAAATTGAGTTATTAGCAAAAATTACAATAATACAGGTTTTAATCTTTATGTATTTACCTTTATATTTTCATCAGGCTGAGCAACTGTCTAGTATCCCTTCATATCAACTTGAAGGACTCCCTTTATTGTTTCTTTTTTTTTTTTTGAGATGAAGTCTCGCTCCGTTGCCCAGACTGGAGTGCAGTGGTGTGATCTCAGCTCACTGCAACCTCTACCTCCCGGGTACAAGTGATTCTCCTGCCTCAGCCTCCTGAGTAGCTAGGATTACAGGTGCGTGCCACCACACCCAGCTAATTTTTGTATTTTTATTAGAGATGGGGTTTCGCCATGTTGGTCAAGCTGGTCTTGAACACCTGACCTCAGGTGATCCACCTGCCTCGGCCCCCGAAAGTGCTGGGATTACAGACATGAGCCACTGTGCCTGGCCCCTTTATTATTTCTTATTGGTCAGGTCTAGTGGTAATAAACTCCTTCAGCTTTTATTTATCTGGGAATGTCTTAATTTCTCCTTCACTTTTGAAGGACAGTTTTGTCAAATATAGTATTCTCAGTTGGCAGGCTTTACTCTTTCAGTACTTTCAATGTATCATCCCACCACCTTCTGGCCTGCAGGGTTTCTGCTGAAATATCCACTGATAATCTTCTAGAGGCTCCCTTGCACATGAGAAGTCACTTTTCTCTTGCTGCTTTTAAGGTTCTCTCTATACTTACTACCACTAAATTCTACACTTAAAAATGGTATAATCTGTTATGTATATTTTGCCACAATAAAAACATTGGAAAGAGGTACCATAGAAGAGTATATTACATGCACCATAGGCTGGAAAACATTTTCAGAGATTAGGCTATTCTCAGTAACTCACATATCTAGTTCTGGTAAACACTGATTGATTTAAACAAATATCAATGAACAAAGTATTACATGCACCGCGTGCAGCTAAACAGTGTTTCGCTGACATAACACTAGTACCTAGATCTGATAAACTATCTAAACAGGCATCACTGAAACTATGCTACAGAAAACACAGAATGCTAACCACAGTATTTCCAAGAGTCTACGCTACACCTAGGCAATCTTGCACCTATCTCTGTTAAACACAGGGTTTGAACTTGGAACAACAAAGAATGTAGTACCTGCACCACACACTTCTTAAAACAGGGTTTTGGCCGGGTGTGGTGGCTCACGCCTGTAATTCCAGCACTTTGGGAGGCTGAGGCAGGAGGATCACCTGAGGTCAGGAGCTCGAGACCAGCCTGGCCAACATGGTGAAACCCCGTCTCTACTAAAAATACAAAAATTAGCTGGGTGTGGTGGCAGACGCCCGTAATCCCAGCTACTCAGGAGGCTGAGGCAGGAGAATCGCTTGAACCTGGGAGGCAGAGGTTGCAGTGATCCGAGACCACACCATTGCACTCCAGCCTGGGTTGCAAGAGCAAAACTCCATCTCAAAATAAATAAATAAATAAATAAACAGGGTTTCATAGGGAAAACACTATGCTAAGTCATTCACAAACCTATTTCTAATAAACACAGATAGTGAACATGCATTAAAGAAGGCTATCTTAGATGAGCCACACCCTGCTAAACACATCGATTCTCAAAGATAATGCAAGGCTCATTCACTCATGGTAGACCTAACTGTTAAACTTAACATTTAAATATGTATCACAGAAGATGGTAGTACCTGAACCTCATGCTTCTAAATGGAATGCTTCACCAAGGTAGCATTATTCTCAATCACTCATGCATCTGCCTCACTTCAGTACGGAGCAAATATGTATCAGTGAACAATGTGCCACGTGCGCTATACACGGCCAAACACAGTGGCTCATACAGTTAACACAAGGTGTGGTCAATCACTGACAGAATGGGAATGAGGAATGTGTCCCACTCTCTCAGCTGTTGTATTATATCATACAAGGTGCAGTGACTACGTTCATTCATGAACCCAGCTCTCTTAAACACAGAAATTAAACACATATATGGGATACAGCACACAGTGTGATTTGTGTCTGCACCTCCCTCGTGCATGTTGTATATTTCATATAATGTAGGTACAAAATGTAACTTTGGTCTTCACCCGCATCAGCTATCATCTATCACAGGTTACATAGCGACATAATACAACTCAGTTCTGCATCCCCCTCTGCTATCATATGGTATCATGTGTGACAATGTGACCCGAGGTGAATAATGACTATCCCCTCTCACCTGCTGTATGGTGTCATAAGTGACATTTGTGACTCACATACACTGTGAATCAGGCCCACAACCCTTCTGTCAGTTGTTGCATGATACTGTATGTGCCATAGTGACATAATGCAACTGAGGTCTGGGCTCCTTGATGTCATATAATATCATAAGTGACATGGTGTGAACAAGGCTGCCTCCCCCTCTTGGGTTATCATTGGCTATCATATAGGACATAGTGATACAAAGTGACAAGTGTGTGTCCCCCTCAAGTGTTATATATCACATGTGACATAGAGTAAGGTGAGCCTGAGTCCTTCTCTTGGTTGTCCTAGATTATTTTATTTTATTTTTTTGAGATACAGTCTCACTCTGTCCCCAAGGCTGGAGTGCAGTGGTGTAATCTCAGCTCACTGCAACCTCTGCCTCCTGGGTTCAAGCAATTCTCCTGCCTCAGGCGCCTGAGCAGTGGGGACCACAGGCGTGCACCACCTCACCCAGCTAATTTTGTATTTTTAGTTACACAGTAACAAATGTGACTGAGGTCTACCTGCGCTCTCAGCTGATGCTGGCACCTTTATTGCCTAGGTGTTTAATGCTTCTCAGGTCTGCATCCTATCTCCCGTCACACACTCTCATATGCTATGTAGGATGAGGACACAGCTGACACACTTAGTCACTGCACCTTGTATGATATAATACAACAGCTGAGAGAGTGGGACACATTCTTCATTCCCATTCTGTCACTGTAACATAGCATATAGCAGCTGAGAACGGGGTACATCCCTGACTCACATGATGTCACAATGTCACATATGATATCATAAGTCATCCAGTGGGCTAGGCACGGTGGCTGACACCTATAATCCCCACACTTTGAGCCTGCCAAAGTGCCTTTTATGTGCCTTTCACATAAAGACTATGACACAGCTAAGCTATTCATGTACTAATAAATACCTGACCTGAGCTGTGTGACCACAGACACCACCCTATAATGTGGCCAGTGTGTAGGAACTCTGCAGGCTCAGATCATTCCAGACATACATGCAGATGTTGGAACTCCCTTGCACAGTGACTCATGATCCCAAGGCTGAGTGCTGAGGGCAGGTCAGTAGTTCAGAGCCTCAGCATTGGGGCCGTATGCTTGGGTTCCCATCTTGGCTCCCACACTTTGGGAGCCCGAGGTGGGTAGATCGCTTGAGCTCAAGCATTCAAGACCAGCCTGGGCAACATGGTGAAACCCTGTTTCTACTAAAAATACAAAAATTTGCCAGGCGTGGTGGTGTGTGTCTGCATTCCCAGCTACTCAGGAGGCTGAGGTGGGAGGATGGCTTGAGCTGAGGAAGCAGAGGCTGCAGTGAACTGCCCTGCTGAGAGTGGAGCTCCTGCTCAGCTCCTAGGAAGGCAAGAGCCAGCAAGGCCACTGCCCAGGCCCCCGAGGGTTCTAGGGGGTCCCATCCCTGGGAAGGTGGAATCTGGGAGGTGAGGGGGACCTAGGACCCCATTGTGTGCACAGCTTGGGCTAAGGCATGAGATAAGACCAGGGTGACAGTACAGGAGTATCCAAGAACTGACTTCACCTAACTTCTGCATTTGACTTCCCATCCCCAATGTGGGTAGGGCCCTGCCCTCTGGCGATTGGAAAGAGGCGCAGGGTGCAAAGAAGTCCCCTCCTCTGACCTCCTGCAGGGCTCCGTCTTGGCCTGGATCCGCAGGGGGGCCTGGGCAGGAGGGAGGCTGTGGTCTTGGGATGGGGTGGCAGTTCCAGGCCCACAGTGGGGCAAGAGACATCCTACACCTTCCTCCCATCCTTGCCCCGAAAGTCATGAGCGCTGGGGTTCAAGGTGCCCTCACTATTTGACCTTTCTTGCTGGTGGCTTTGGTGTGTCATTCTGGTCCCCAGCCTCTGTTTCCTGGACTGTAAGTGGGGATAATAATAGGTCACCCCTCCCCTGCAGGATTAACCTCAGCGATTGTTGCTGGCATCAGTGCAGCCCTGGGACCACAGCACACCTGGGTGAGTTTGGAGCGCTCGCGCTCTTCCTGGTGGCCCTGCCTGGGCACCGACCCCTCCCATCCTCTCCTCAATAGCCACGCCCCTAGCCCAGCTAGCTAATGAATAAATATGTAGTAGCCAGGCCAGCATCTTGGCTCCGAGGTCTAGCCACTTTCTAGTCCTTCCTAGCTGCGGCTGCCACTGAGCCACGCACGCCCCTGGCATCATGCTCGCCTTGCAGTGCAGCTGGTGTGGCGCAGACTCTGAGAGTGAGCACCAGGACTCTTCCCGTCTGGTCTCCAATCTACCCTCTTGCCATGCTCCACCACCCCTTAGGTCTTGCCACTGGGAGTGGGGAGGGACTGGGGAGAGAAAATACTGGGGTAGGGGTGACAGGAGAGAAGGTTCTTCACTGGCCTCCCCTGGCCTAAGCCCCTGGCCTACTTCATTCTTGGACCCCAGCTGATGGGATGGGGCTTGGAGAGGACCCAGATGACTGGTCTCTCAGCTCAGCCTCCTGCCCACTGTCTCTATAGGTGCCTGGTGCTACGACTCCCAGGACCCCAAGTGTGGTGAGGACAGAGTGTCATGTGAGGCTGAGTGAGATCAGTCTGTGTCCTGGGACCACCAGAGCATGTGCCAGTGGTGCAAGAGTGGCCAAGAGACAGTCTGCACCCTGCACTCTGTGGCCTTTGCAGGTTTCTGTCTGTAGTCGTCTGCCCCAGTAGACTGACTGGGCATCAGGTGCAAGTGCGTGACTGTCCCCCTGTGTGTGAGTCTGGGCCTGCTGTGATCGCCGGTCCCGAGTCAGTCAAGGCTGGTGTGCCTGTTACTGTGGCCAGCCCAAGTGTGTGCAGGTGATAGAGGTCCCAGTGTGGGTGTGCAACTGTGTGCCAGAGACTCTTTTGCCTTCATCTCACCATGGGGCAGCCAACCGGGAGACTAGATGGATAGGCCAGATGCAGGGTACAAGAGAAGGGGGATGCTGTGACCTGTTCAGGTGTGGGGGAAGCAGGGAGCTGGGTTTCCTGAGGCTGGGCTATCCTCTGGGTGTATGGGGGCCACTCTCTGCTGCACCCCCAGGCTGCCTCCCTGACCCCACCCCCACCCCAAAGGCCCCAGTCCTTGTTCCAGCAGTCCCCACCCACTGGAAGAAGCTGGCCCCTGCCTGTGGGGGCCCAGGCCAGTCCCTCATCGACATTGACTTTCACAGGGTCCGGCGGAACTCTACCCTAGGGCCCTTCATCTTCCGAGGCTATGACTCAGCACCTCCAGGCCCTTGGACCCTGGAGAATGACAGCCACACAGGTCAGCACCCTGTGGTCAGGACCCCTCCTAGGCAGGAGCAGGAGCCCCACACAGGGCATGAGAGCTCCTGAGTGTACACAGGGACCAGGACCCCCTACACACGGGAGCTGAGACATCCTACAGGGCCAAAAACCCTCCACAGGGGCTAGCTTCACAGGAAAGGAGCATCCTCACACAGCAGTCCAGATGCGCCCTCTGTGTAGGTGCCAGGTCCCACCCTACAAATCACAACCAGCCATGGCCCCTGAGGACCAGGAGTCAGGGTCTCTGGCAGGGCCAGGATCCCTGACCACACACAGCTGGGCTCAGAGCCCCACCCCAGGAGGGCTGCCCTCTGCCTTCTTCCATGCCATGCTGGGTGTGTGGGGGAGGGTTTCCCCTGCAGTCTGTGGAACTCTGCTCTGCTGACCAGCAGGAGCCATGGACACCATGGGTTCCATTCCATGGAGGCAATGGGGCCCCACTGGGGAGCAGCCTGGCCTGAGGAAGGGCCTCTGCTCGTACCCTGTGCTCTAATGGCACAAGGTGGGCAGGTGGTGAGGTAGAGAGGGTGTCGTGTGCCTCCTCCCCTTCATTGCTACTCTGAATGGACACTGATCCTCAGAACCACCTGGAGATTTGGGAGGCTGGGCTGCTGTTGCCTGTCTACCGCGCACTGCGGCTGCACATCAGCTGGGGGCGGGGGGGGGGCCCGAGGCGAGCAGACTCAGAGCACAGCCTGGACAGGCAGCGCCAGGCTATGGAGGTAGACTTGGGCACAAGGTGGGGTGGCCGGAGTGCTCCCACGGAGATGAGAGAGAGCAAGGTGGGGGCAGCTGGGTATCTCCCACATCTGTGCCTACCCCCAGATGCATGTGGTCCACAGTAACACAAAGTACCAGAGCATGGAGGAGGCACCACGCCACGGTGATGGGCTCGAGTGCAGGCCCTGCTGCTGGAGGTGCTGCTGGCGGTGAAGGCAGGGCTGTGATTCTATGTATGTTTCCAAAAAAGGGGTCCATGGGGATCCTGGAAGTGGACAGGCTAGGCCTGTGGAGTCCATGGGGGGATCTCTAGGGTCTATAGGATCTGTGGGAGGATAGGGCGGTGGGAATGCCTGAATCGGCAGGGCCAGTGGCGGCGAGAACCCTCCACCCCATTTCCCAGATGCCAGATGCCTCCTGCCACTGGGAGCCTCCTGCTTAGAGTATCCCAGCTGAGTTCCCTCTTCAGAGACTCCCCCACTCAGAACCCCTTGCACTTGGAGCCCCTCCCAGGAGCAGGACTGTAGCAACACCAACTTCTGCGCCATAGTGTCGGGCTTGAGGAAGGTGCCTGAGCCAGGTGAGGAGCCACCGGGTCGTTTTCCGGCTCAGGGGCGGGGGGTTTGCTGGGGATGGCACCAGCAGGGCACGGGGAGGCTGGTTCCAATCCCCCTCCCTCTGCCGCCTGGGGCTCTCAGTGAA
Organism: Homo sapiens; assembly: GCF_000001405.40. Taxonomy (NCBI): domain Eukaryota; kingdom Metazoa; phylum Chordata; class Mammalia; order Primates; family Hominidae; genus Homo; species Homo sapiens. The sequence continues at coordinate 18,636,791 of NC_000022.11, read as the reverse complement.
TCTGATGTCCACCTTCCTGCTGGCGTCGATGCGGCCCAACACCTCGAGCTACTGTCGCTTCGCTGGGTCACTGACCCCGCCTGACTGCGAGCCCACGGTGCTCTGGACCGTCTTCGAGGACCCCATACCCATCCGGTGGGTGCAGGTGGAGCCACCGTCCCCCCTCGCCCCCCACACCCCTCCCCGGGCCTTGCCTGGCTCCTCCCGCAGGCGCTGCCCCTCTCCCACCCCGTTTTGATCTCTTTGCCCTGCACCCTCAGATGACCCTGTTCCACACCGTGCCCCAGGCTGGACCCTCCCACTTTCACCCCATACCGCTCACGGGTAACTTCCGCCCACAGCAGCCTCTTTTTTTTTTTGAGACGGGGTCTTGCTGTGTCGCCCAGGCTGGAGTGCAGTGGTGGAATCAGCTCACTGCAAGCTCCGCCTCCCGGGTTCATGCCATTCTCCTGCCTCAGCCTCCTGAGTAGCTGGGACTACAGGTGCCCGCCATCACGCCCGGCTAATTTTTTGTATTTTTAGTAGAAACGGGGTTTCACCGTGTTAGCCAGGATGGTCTCGATCTCCTGACCTCGTGATCCGCCCGCCTCGGCCTCCCAAAGTGCTGGGATTACAGGCGTGAGCCACCGCGCCTGGCCCACAGCAGCCTCTTAAGGGGCACACAGTCTTGGCCTCCCCCAGAGCCTCGGTCCCCGCAGCAGCCCCCCGCTCTTCCCCCACCCTAGCAGGTGTGCACTGCGCTCTGATGCGCCTGGGGCTCAGCTTGTGGTTCTGTCAACCGTGGGCGACCCTCCGTGTGAAATAATGAAATAATGCACAGAGTGACCTTAGCCTAATGTGGCCTGGAGGGGGTGGGTGCGTGACCCGGCGCGGTCCCCCACTGCAAGAGGGGCATTTCCTGCCCTAATCCCACTGAGGCCTCAGTGTGCCTGTCTGTTCCGTGGGAGCCCTCTGAGTGACCCTCTCCTACCTCAGCAGAACCCGGGCCTCTCCAGGTTCCTCTCAGAGGGAGAAGGGCCCCCACCCTCATCCTATACATTGTGTCTGAATCCCCTGGTCAGATGGAAGGAGAACATCTAGCAGTCAGAAATTCCACCATTAGGCCAAGATTACATTATTTTATTTTAAAACTAAGCTGGGTGGCCAACCCAGGGACACCGTGCTCTGCTAAATGATGACTCCAGCTACATTTCCCGAGGCCAAGAGATGAGAAGCTGCTGGCTCCAGGCTCCGCTGCAGGCTGCCCTGGCTGAGCGGGTGCTGGGCACCGCGGAGCGCTGCCTGGTGCTCTGAAGCCATGCCCCAGTGCCTCCCTGGGAGTTCTGCTGTGGAGTCTGTGTGGAGGGTGACTCTGGAGAGATGTTTGTGTCCCGGTGGCTGCCTGTGGTCTGGCTAAGTAAAGGGGTGAGTATTCTTGGTGTCACTGTCCAAAGCAAAGTTGTGTCCACGGGACACAGACTAGGTGAGGCTCTGTGTCCAGGTGATGCTGTCCAGTGAGAGGGGGTTGCAGTCAGAGTGAGGCTGACCGGAGGCCGCTGTCCAATTGGTGCCGTGTGGAATGTGATTACATACTGGTTGACACCGTCCTGAGGGCCATCACCAGCTGCGTGTCTCAGCCGCCCTGTGTCCCTGGGTTCTGTGCCCTTGTGTGTGGTTTGACACTATTCCAGTGCGTGGAGACCCTGCCTCGTCACTGAGACCTTGAAAGAAAAAGAACGTGCAGTCACCCCAAGGAAGAGGAGTCTCGGCTGTTCCCCTGGAGGCTGACCCAGCCCTGGCCCAAAGGCTGACCCAGACCCAAGGCCCAAAGGCCCAGCTCTAAGGTCCAAAGGGGCTCCACCCTGTTCTCTAGCCGGACTCAGTCTCTCGCAAGGACCCCGGCTCCCATCCGCACTCCCCAGACGCACGTGGCCCACCCTCCGCCCGTCCCGCGCCCACCCCCTCCCTCCAGTACCGGAGCCCTAACTGGCGGCACCCGGGCACCCTTCTGACTCAGAGCCACGCTACACGAGGGGGACCGATCTGCTCACTTGCCCCGTCCTGGGGGTACCAGAGTAGCCAGCGCGACGCCTTCCGCACCTCGCCTAGGCTGCCCTTGTGCGGCCGCCCTCAGTCCCCGCCACCTTGCGGGGCCCCAGGCGGCACTGGCATCTTCTTGTGGTTCTTCCTGGCCGGGGCTCGGTGCGCTCCGCATTCTGCTGGGCCGTCCGGGGCGTCGTCTGCGGGCCTGGAGGCGGCGACCAGGGCGCTCACGGTGCCGAGCGTCCGCAGCAGGGTCGGGCCGCGGGGCGCGGCGCGGGGGACGGCGCGGGGCTCGCGGCGGGCAGGCGGGGACGGCGGCGGCGGCGGCAGCAGCGCGCGCAGAGCGTCCAGCTCCGCTCGAAGCTCCGCGCGCAGCGCCTCAATCTCGGCGCCCAGCTCCTCGCGCACTGCCGCGAGTCCCTCCTGCAGCCGCCGCTCGCTGACCTCCAGGACCCCCGCCGGGTAGGTGGCCCTGCCGCGGGGCTCCCCGCATACTGAGCACACGGAGCCGCGGCTGTGCGCGCCGGTCCTCTCGCCCGCGCCCGCCGCCCCGGCCCCCGCACGCTCCACCAGCTTCAGCAGCCGCGGCACCTCGGACCGCGAAGCCGCTTCGGCCCGGAGCTGGCGGAGCAGGCGAGCCAGCCGGCCCGGGGCTCGGGCGTCTTCCCGGCCCGGCCCATTGGATTGCGGCCCCGGGTCCCGCCGGCGGCCCGTGACGCGCCGCAGCACCTCGCTGGCTCTGTACGCACTACGCGCCTGGGCCCACGGGCGGCCGGGCGTCGCCATCCGCCCTGCTGCCTCCACCGCCGCCAGCGCCCGGGATGGCCGGGAGCCCCAGGCTGCAGCCTAGCCATCGCTGGGGCCCAGGCGACGCACCGTGGAGGGGGCCCGCGGGACGGCTTTGGGAACGACCAAAGCCCTGGGGGTTCCGGCCTGGGCCGCAGGGAACCCTGGCAGGGCTGGGTCCCGGGCAGCCCGGTTCCCCGGGGACCCTGCGGGAACAACGACGTTGTGGGCAGGTCCTCACAAAGGGCATGGCCCAGTTTCTGGGCATAGGTGACATGGAGCATCGCCAGCCAAAGACCAGGCACCACCCGCTAGACACGAGTCAGGAACTGAGCTCACATTTTACACTAGAAGCTACTGTCTCCATCATAGTCAAGGGAAGGCCAGGAGTGGTCATGGACCCCACAGCCCTTTTCAATGGCTCAGGGCGACGTCCTTCCATGTAGTCCAGGCCATTATCTCCTCACCCTGTCCCCTAGTCCACACAGCTGGAGGAATCCATCCAGGTGGCATCTCCAGCCCCAAGCTGCTGGTCCTTCCATGCGAGCTCTTCAGGGTCTCCCTTACTCTCCAAGGTGGCCCGCCTAGGGCCTCTGGAAATCCCTGGCCATCTCAAGCTGGGTTTTTTGTTTTGTTTTGTTTTTATAAACAGGATCTTGCTGTGTTGCCCAGGCTGGAGTGCAGTGGTGCAATCATAGCTCACTGCAGCCTCCATCTCCTGGGCTCAAGCGATCCTCCCACCTCAGTCTGCTGAGTAGATGGGACTACAAGCGTGCACCACCATGCCCGGCTTTTTTTATTTTTATTTTTATTTATTTTATTTTATTTATTTATTTATTTTGTAGTGATAGGGTCTCACTGTGTTTCCCAGGTTGGTCTTGAACTCCTGGCCTCAAGTGATCCTCCTGTCTTGGCCTCCCAAAGTGCTGGGATTACAGGCATGAGCCACCATGTCCAAGCCTGTCTGTGTCTTTAACCTCCTCTAATCCAACAGTCTTCTTCATCCTTCTGGGTCTTTGCACAGTTCCTCTCCCCCCAACCCCTGCCATTTTCCTGGTGGCTCTCACTTTTCCCACTTAGATAGGGAAATGTTCCATGACCACCCCATCCCACACTGGGGACCTCGAGCCCCTCCTCCACAGCACCCTTCACAGTTGTATTTAAATGACTCTGTTTTCCATCCACCCACTGTGGGGTCTCTGAGCCCAGGGCTGGGTCATTTCTCCTGGGCCGAGTGTGGCACTAAGCATGCTGAGTGCTAGCCTGCACAGAGGCCAGGCCCGGGTGGGCCCCAGGACACAGCTGTCAGTGGCTGTCTTGCCATGGAGTGAGTGGATGAATCAGCAGGGCTGGGATCCTCTCCCATTTTACAGTAGGAGGCTGGGGAGAGGAGCTGGCCAGCCCCTCCACCTCTGCAGCCTGGCATCTGAGGCCCTCATGGCATCCCTGCTGGTCTGCCTTCCCCTGCAGCCCTTCCACCCTCTGTGGAGCCCTCACTACTGCACCCTACTCCTTCTCACCCCAGTGCCTCTGCATAAGCAGTGCTGCCTGTGGCCGCCACAGGGCCCTAGGTATGGGCAGAGTAGTATCCCCCACACAGCATGCTGTTCTCCCTGTACCCCCAGGGGCTAGTTAGCACTCTGGGTGCCCTGGACCCTGGGGCCTCCCTCAGCAAATTGTGGAGGGTGGCCTGGCATGAATCCAGGCAGGTCTGGGAAGGGACATGGCAAGACAGCCCCTGGAAGCTGTGTCCCCGGGTCCACTGGGGTCTGGCCCCTGCAGATCAGTGCATGTGTGCATGTGTTGGGGGGGGGATTGAGGGGACCGCTAATACTGTCCTCAAGCAGCTGCTGAGGAGAAGACTGGGTCCCTCTAGTCATGTTCATCCACTCAATCACTCCCTGCAGCTCGTCTCCCTGGAAGGTGCAGGAGGAGGTGAGAATTGGGCACTCTGTCAACCCCTCAGACTCCCCCATTCCTGCTGAGTCACCCGTCCTCTGGGACCTCCAGCAGCTGGCTCTGCTGATCCCTAGAGCCTCATTAGCCATTCTCTCCCTCCCCCCAGTCATTAAAACACTGCCAACAAGAGCGCCCTGGGTTCTTTTCCCCAGCCCTACTGGAGACGGGCTGTGTGACCCAGGGGCTCTGCCCTCTCTGAGCCAAGTCTTCACCTGTGAAATGAAGAGATCTCTGAGGTCCCCAGGAGGAGTGACAGGGAGGCCTGGATGGTGGCGAAGGTGCAGGAGAGAGTCCAGATTTGCAGAAAGAGCTGTTAGTTTTGTGATCTCTGCCTGGAGGTCTATGGACAGGCTGGAAGAGAACCTGAGCCATTGCAATGAGTCCAGATTAGGGCTTGTTCCTGCAGAGGCTACAGATGTGGGGGCTGGTACTTATGGCAGAGGGTCCCAAAGTCATGGGCATAGAGAAGACAGGTTGGCAGGAGCAAGGGCAGAATGGGAGCGGGGTCCTGGGGACCCTGTTGGGCCCTGAGGAGGACTGCAGAGGTGTCGGTGAGGGGTGGACAGGCAGGCGTGTCAGCACAACCCTGAGCCCCTGAGCTCAAGTGCAGGGATGGCCGTGAAGCAGGTGATGGGGACCCTGGCTTGAGCTTCATCGGTAGCGGGGCTGGGGTGGACACCGGGGACTGGCGGAGAGGAGATGGGGTGGGGGCTGGTCAAAGCAGTGTGTCCCTCAGGGAACGTGGCAGAGCGGGGCGCGCACACAGGTCTGCTCTCCAGTTCCTCCGGGAAGTTCCTCAAATTCAGCCAGCTCCAGCTGCCCCTGGCACAGAGGAGCTGACTGAGGCTCCAGTGCAGGGCCTGCTCCTTCCCCTCCTGTTCCCCTCAGTGTGCCCTGGGCCGGGGGCCAGGCATGGTGGGGGTGGGGAGGCTGGCTGTGCCTGTGGGAAGCCACCGGCTCCCGGGGCTGTCCCTGGGCCCAGGCTGTAGCTCTGTGCATGCAGACGTGCAGGCTGGGTGGGCAACTGGCCACCTTGCCCGTCAGTAATGCATTCACAGTGGGGGGTCAGAGGAAACCCCAGGGCTCCTCTGCTTAGCTTGGCCAGGGGTCCCGATGGGGCAGTCTCTCCGTGTGACTTAATTGTCATCCCTTTTGTGCTCTATGGCTATTAAATAAAACTTGGCAGCCACCTTGGCTGGAGGTTTTATGTCCCAGAGCCCAAGGGCGGTTGGGAGCCAGGGGAGCGCTCAGACGGCAGGGCCAGGCGAGCTCTGTGTGTGGGAGGGGCTGTGGGGGCCTCTGAGAGCTGCTGCAGGGACCCGGCAGGGCGGGGGTGGAGGCAGAGAGTGTGACTGTAGCTTCACAGTCATCAGAGTGGACGTGGAGATGCAGGCAGAGTCCTCGAAGCTGGCTCAGGGGTCTGTGTGGGGAGGGGGCACACCCAGCAGGGGCCTGAGGGTAAGCAAGGGAGGCAGCAGGGTCTTGGAGCTGCCTCCCAAAGGTGGTGGGGAGCCCCAGGAAGAGCAAGGAACAGGAGCAGCCGGCAGGTGCGGCTGATCCACCCTGAGGTCCCGGACACACTGGTGGGGACAGGAAGGCTCATCTTGGAGCTGCTCCTGGAGGGGCCATGTGGGTCACGGCCCCTGGCCCTCTGCTCAGACCACAGAGCACAGGACACTTGTCCAGCCTTTGCTGCGACTGTGCTGCTTGCTCTGGGAGCAGCTGCTGCTGGGCCTTTGGAGGAGGAGGAAGGGTGGCCTGGCTGGGACCCAGCCCCTGTGCCCAGCCTCTTAGAAGGGGAGGTGATGGTCCTTTTAGGCCCCAGGAGTGCAGGCTGCATAGTGGGGCCTCTGTACACATAAGCTGGCAGGTCTGGCTTGGGCTTTGCTCAGGACACTGGGTACTGGGTTCTGGGTTCAGAGGCCTCATGAAAACACCTAGCCTCAGTTTCCTCATCTGTCAGGACCAGCGGCTGGCTGGGAGGGTGTGTGTTAGCATGGCAGCGGCCAGCTTAGTCTACTCTAGGAGACCTTGCCTCCCCGACCCCTGAGCTGACCTCTTCTTTGAGAGCTTAGAGAGGAGAATGACTTGTTCCAGGTCTTACTGCAGGGTCTGGGGCTTCCTGTGGGGACTCAGGTGCACCTTGTCCCTGAATACCCCTGCCTTGCCCACTAGGCCCTGGAACTGTGCCCCGGCCTCCTGTGGCACTGGCTAGCCAGATCTCTGGGAACCGTCCCAGGGCAGGTGGCTCTGCAGGAGGCCAAATGATTACCCAGCAATGGCCTTGCCTGATGTGGGTAACGAGCTCATTACCTGGTGATGACCTTGTTTGTCTGTTCCTGGCATCAACAGCCTCAGCTCTCCCTGCAAGGAATGTCTAGCCTGGGGTGGGTCTGACCAGTCTGTGCCACAGGCACCAGCATCCCAGTCTGCACTGCATGGGGTGTCGGGCCTGACAGCATCTACCTATATGTGCCCTGAGGGCCCAGACTCAGCCCCCAGTGGGAAGACTCCAGGCTCCTGACGGACCCCTCCCAGTTGTACAACCTGAGCAGGTAAGCCCTGACCCACTCTGGGCCTCACTCTCACCAAGCTGGTGACAAAGATTCTCTGCTTGGTCAAGCTTTATTTAGGCTCCTGAGCCTTCTCCTAGGCACATCTGAGCACTTCCTTATAAACTCTAGTTTTAGCAAGAATTCTGCAAAGTCAGTTTAGCGAGAAGCCCCCCGTCCTTGACATCTGATCGGGTTCCCCCTCTGTCCCCCAGGTGCGGTCTGGCCATCCTGGCCGGCCTTCAGCAAGAATTCTGTTAGGGGAGTTAAGCCAGAATCCCTGGCTGCTGATGCTTCCTCTTAGTCACTTTCCATGCACTGCCCCCCACCCTGCTCCTTGACTGTCCGATCCCACTTGCCCATGCTGTCTTCGAGGCTGAGCCCAGTCTCTTACCCACTGCAGAATCTCATCGCCATGGTCCCTTATGCCTAGTGACACGGTCCTGGATAGTCTTCCCCCTGCTCCTTGACGGTCCGATCCCACTTGCCCATGCTGTCTTCGAGGCTGAGCCCAGTCTCTTACCCACTGCAGAATCTCATCGCCGTGGTCCCTTATGCCTAGTGACACGGTCCTGGACAGTCTTCCCTACGGCGCTTTGGCAAGTGTCATTTTTCTTTTTTTCTTTTCTTTTTTTTTTTTTTTTTTTGAGACGGAGTCTCACTCTGTCACCAGGCTGGAATGCAGTGGTGCCATCTCGGCTCACTGCAACCTCCGACTCCCTGGTTCAAGCGATTCTCCCGTCTCAGCCTCCCGAGTAGCTGGGATTATAGGCACCTACCACCATGCCCAGCTAGTGTCAATTTTCACTGAATTATTTTTTTAACAGTGGGGACTAAAGAGGGTCCGCAAGCAGGGCTGCTGCTGGGCACCATGGAGGGCCGCCTGGCGGGACATGCCCCAACCTACAGGGGTCCTTGAGGGCTCCCCTTCCCCTGCCAGCTGGGCTGGGGTCTCTGTGTCAGGAGTGTCCTCACCACCACCTGGGGATGGACCTCCACTGTCATCCTAGGGAAGGGGCCAGGGAGGGGAGTCTACATGCTGAGCGGGCCTGTCCGAGGCCTCTGCTATCCCAATGCAGCCCCCAGTATTTAGACCTGCCCCCAGTGACCTGCTCCCTCTTGCCCATCATTCCAGGAACTTCCTGCTCCACGCCTGCGCACATCCTGTCCCTAGGCCGGCTCCCCCTGCTCAGCCTCAGGACGCAGCCACCCACCCTCCCAGGAGCGCCTTCCCTGCCCCTGTGGCTTCCTGCTGGCACTCTCTGCACTGGGTTCTTCCTCCTGGTGTGTGGGGCCCTAGTCTCTGTCTCCTGTCGGGTTTGACTTCTACCAGAGCAGGGACCTCCCTGAGTCCTCATGGCCCAGAAAAGTGCCCAGCATGCAGTAGGCGCATCATAAATACCTGTCTACTATCATGTGGTGAACTGAGTGAAGACATCTCATTAAAGATGACATTAAAGAATAGGGCATAGGGCTTGGCATTCAGTAGGCACACAGTACATGATGGCTTTGTTATTTCCAGTCTGGGGTTGTGTTCATGCCTCAGTTTCCCACCTGGCCTGATAGGAGGGGCTCAGCTGCTGGGCTGGCTGTGTCTCTGTGCCCCTTGCCTGGAAATGCCTGACGAGGGGCAGGGTCCTCATCCCAGCCACATCCCAGGGGTTCCCAGCCCTCTGACCTTGAGGAGCTGTGGGAGGCGAAGGCTGCAGCCACCCTGTAGCACTGCAAACACAGGCTGGGGCGGGAAGGGGGGTACAGAGGGTGTGCACAAGGGGCAGGGGGAGGGAGAGGGCGGGCACAAGGGGCAGGGGGCAGGGACATGTCCCCACGCCCAGCTAATTTTTGTATTTTTAGTAGAGACGGAGTTTCACCATGTTAGCCAGGCTGGTCTTGAACTCCTGACCTCAAGTGATCCGCCCACCTAGGCCTCCCGAAGTGCTGGGATTACAGGCCTGAGCCACCGTGCCTGACCAAAAATGATTAAGTATTTTAAGGCAGCCACCACAGAGCATTAAACAAGCCCCTAGAGCTGGCCCCGCCCCCGAAGGCTCCAGGCCCATCTGTCTTGGGGATGCACAGGTTCCAGGGACCCAAACCCACCCTTCACAACTCTCTTCCCCTCCCAGCACCACAGGGGCCCTCCTGGCCCCTGGGACCTCCCATGGAGCAGGCTCTCTGTCCAGGATGGAGATGGGGACCCTCCTCACTGCCCTGTGCCCCTCATGGGCTGGACACACCCACCACCCAAGAAGAAAGGCCTAAAGGGCTGGGCACTGCCCTTTTGGAACCAGAGGCTTGGCGGCCCCATATGGGTCTGGCTGAACCCACCTTTGGGGGGCTGAGATGAGCCAGCCTCAGTTACTCAGCTGACGGCAGGGCCTGTGGTATGGAGCTTCCCAGACTGCACACCTAGCCCCTACCGGACTTCCATCGTCTCCAGACACGCACAGCAAGGGTTCCCAGGCCAGAAACAGGAAGCAGCAGCTCTCCCTCCTCCAGTTCCTGGGAACTGTCTCAGACGAACCACCCGGAGCCTCACCTACAGGAGGATGGACACCTGCACCCAGTGCTGTAGGGAGCAACCTCAGCCCTGGGCCTGGGATGAATGCCCTCGCCAGCCTGGGGCCAGGAGACAGGCTCTCCGTGGCTCAGCGCCTGAGCATCCACTTACAGGACACTCACCTGCAGAGGTACCCTGAGCACCGTTGTGGGTTAAGGGACTTTCTCCCCTCTGGAAACAGTCCTGAGAAGCTGAAGGTCTTGGGGGCCTCTCACCAAATGTCTTTGGGAGGTGGGAAGACATCAAATGCGGGTGTGGCTTCCCTGGAACAGCTCTGTGTGGGGACTCAGGAGCCAAGTCCCCCAGCACATGCCTCTAACACTTTCAGTAGGGGCCCACCTCTCTGGAGCCATGGGTGGCTGCCAACACCCTGTGGTTCCCAGCAGGCACCACCCAGGCAAGAGAGAGAACAGGCTGGGGAACAATGGGCTGGCCTGGCCGCAAGCGCTGGGGCAGATCACAGACCAGATGGCCTAAGCTCATGCCCTGGGGCCAGCTCTGACTCCCTGCAAGTGTGGCAAGGGTCCCTTTTGGACACCTTGAGAAGCTGCAGCTGGGAGAGGACCACCCGCCTGTCTGGACGTCCAGCCCAGGTGGCAGGGCCCAAGTGACCAGTCCCAGGCCACAGCCCTTACCACCCGCCCTGGCTGCAGGGGCTCCCAGAAGCCACCAAGGGCCTGGCTCGGCCTTGCCTGTCCGCATCTGAGCTTCAGTTTCCTCATCTGCTCAAGAAGGGAGGTGAACACTGATTAAATTATGCAAACTCTGAGCGGCAGGATTAGGTGTGGCTGGGACAGCCAAGGCTTCCCTGGGTGGTGGCATCTCTGGAGCCCGGGGATGGGACCTGTCTCCCTTCAGGGCCCCCAGCTGGGCACGCACCTGCCCCAGTCCCTCCCTGCAACTCTTCCTCCATGCCAGTCCCTGGAAATGTGGCCCTGCCGTGGGTGTCATGGCCCATAGGAGATGCTTTGGGCCCAGCACCCACAGCCCCTCGCAGTGTGCACCCCCACTTCCCTTTCCCCACTGCTGGGACACCTGCTTGAAATGTCCCTCCTCCCCCCAGAAAGGAGGGGAGCAGCCCTGGCCTTCTGCCCTGAGGGCGGAGCTCTCTTTGGGGTCTCAATTGCAGCCCCTGGGAGAGTGAGAAGGGTCAAGTTCAGACCCTGCACCATTCCCTACCAGGCCTCGAATGGGACTCTTGGCAGCTGTATCCCCCACCCCAGTCCAGGCAAGCAAAAGGGGTTCTTCTGCAGTCTTCAGGGCCCCCAGAAGGCGCACTGTTCACAGACACCCTGGGGAGCCAAGAGAGGTCGAGGGCTCCAGCTACCGTGGCCCTCTGAGGACCCCCGCCTGTGGGATAGAGGACTTGGTGGCTGAAGGGCAGTCATGCCCAGGGGGCTTCTCCTGACCCTGCAGGGCTGAGCGGGTGCAGCCTTTTGCCTCTTCTCGCTGCATTCTAGCCCATCAGTCAGGGCAACAGCCAGATGGTCTATGCTAAGATTCATCCCATCCCCACGGGCCCTGTGACTTTCTACCATATCAACGTGGTGGCCTGTGCAGTTCCCGGCCAGCATTTTCCTGGGGATGCTGCTGTCTAATGGGCTGTGGGAGAAACAGAGACAGGCCCTGCACATGGGGCAGCCAGTCCAGCACCCGCCAGGCCAGGCCCTCAGCATCCTCTCCTCCAGATGCCCAAGAGAGCTGCTCCATGCGCTGTGGCGCCCTGGACAGGCCATGTTCCTGCCACCCGACGTGCTCCGGCCTTGGTACCTGCTGCTTGGATTTCCAGGACTTCTGCCTGGAGATATTGCCCTACTCAGTCTCCATGATGGGCGGCAAGGACTTTGTGGTGCGGCACTTCAAGATGTCCAGCCCCACAGACACCAGTGTGATCTGCAGGTTGGGAGGCCCAGGAGGCCGGGCACTGGGGCCCCACGCCCCCATCCCTGTGCATGCTGAGGGCTCAGACCCACTGGCAGGCTGAATGGAGCCCCTCAGACCCAGGACAGGCAGGAGGGCACAGGACAGCTGGTTGGATGGGTTCCCCAGGGAGGTTGGGGGCCCAGACTGTCGAGATGCTCAGCCTGCAGTGGCCCAGCACCTCCTACCACCACCAGGCCCACAGGTTTGCATGCCACAGGAGAGCATCCAGACCCTCGGCCATGTGGACTCCTCCGGGCAAGTGCACTTCGTGTCGCCCCTGCTCTATGAGAGCGGCCACGTCCCCTTCACCATCTCACTGGACGATGGCCACTCCTTCCCTCGTGCGGGCACTTGGCTGGCTGGTGAGCCCTCCTCCCTGCCCACAGCCTGCCCCCACGGGGACTTTCCCCAGCGCTAATCTATGCACACCGAGACTTGGCCCGTCCGTGTCCTGCCTCTCTGGCTGAACCAATCCCTTGGGAGGCCTGCCCGCCTGCGAGAGTTCCTTCAGCTCCTTTCCACTCCCTGGCATCCAGACCACGGTCCCAGCCCAGAGTGAGTGGGAGCTGCAGGGGTCCCTAGAGAGGTGGGCCAGTGCCTATCCACTGAGCTCCGCCACACCAGGGCAGGGGAGAAGCCAGGTGGAGGCTAGAGGCGTGGGCAGTGGAGGGAGGGCAGGCCCCTGCCTCTCCGGCCTCAGCGTCCTTTTCTGCCATGAGGGCCGGAGAGACCATCACCCAGCTGCTGCCATGCATTGGCCCTGGAGGCTCCCACAGCCCTTGAAGCCTCAGGGCCTCCTCCCTGCTTCCCTGGGCCCAGCCCTCACTCACCCCTCACCTCCCCTGCCCAGTGCACCCCAACAAAGTGTTGATGAAGGAGAAGAGTGAGTTGATGAACGAGATGCATTGGCAATACTACGGCACCGCCAACACCTCAGGCAACCTCAGCCTGACCTGGCACGTTGAGGCGCTGCCCACACAGACACCATCAAGCTGTGGGGCTATGAGGAGACAGGTGAGGCCAGCTGAGGGCTAGGGTGGCATCCAGAGCTTTGGGCCCCCAGAGGTGGGAGAAAGGGAGTCCCAGCTGTGTGGGAGGAGGAGGAGAGTTTCCAGGTGGGGTTGAGGAGGGAAGGGAATTCCAGGCGGAGATTGAGGATTCGGATGGAGGGAAGTGCAGGCCAGGGGGGTCAGGCAGGTGGGAGGGGGCAGCTGCATGGGGCCTGGGTCCCGGGGAGGAGGCTCATGAGGAACCCCTCACGGCTGGCATGGCCCTGGGCCCGGCTTCCAGCAGGGACAGGGATCCTGGAGTGTGGCAGGAGGTGGTGGTCACCCAAGCCAGGGTCCCTGCTAGAACAGCCCCTCCTAAGGGGACCGCCTGGCAGTCCATCCACACATGTGTCAGGCTGCTCTAGGTATCAAGGCCTGGGGCCAGGCCTTGAAGGAGCCCCAGGGCTAACCAGGCCTTCTCTCCCTCAGGAATGCCCTACTCACAGGAGTGGACTGCAAAGTGGTCGCACCTGTACCCCCCAGCCACACACATCCCCAACTCCGGCTCTTTCACCTTCACCCAAAAACCTGCTCCTCCCAGCTACCAGAGATGGCGAGTGGGTGCACTTTGGATCATCGACAACAAAAATTACGCAGGGCAGGCTGGTTACGGTGGCTCACGCCTGTAATCCCAGCACTTTGGGAGGCCAAGGCGGGCGGATCACGATGATGTCAGGAGATCAAGACCATCCTGGCCAATGTGGTGAAACCCAGTCTCTACTAAAAATACAAAAAATTAGCCGGGCGTGGTGGCGGGCGCCTGTAGTCTCAGCTGCTCAGGAGGCTGAGGCAGGAGAATGGCGTGAACCCAGGAGGCAGAGGTTGCAGTGAGCCAAGATCGTGCCACCGCACTCCAGCCTGGGCGACAGAGCGAGTTTCAATCTCAAAAAAATGATAAAGAAAAAAAGAAAGGGCACATCCACTCTATGGAGTTCTCCCTCAAATCCTGTAACCCTAGTCTTATCATGGGCAAGCATCAGACAAACCTAAATTAGGGGACATTCAACAAAATAACTGTTCTTCAAAAGTGTCAAAGTCACAAAAGACATTGACAGACTGGGGAGTCACCACATATTGGAAGGGAGTAGGAGACACAGAGATTAAATGCCACCTGGTGTCCTGGGTTGGATGCTGGAACAGAAGCGGGGCATGTGTGGGAGACCTGGGAAATCCAGACGAAGTCTGAAGTTTAGGTAATAGGATTATATCAATATCTGACTCAGTTTTGACACATCAGCCTGGTTACTGCAGATGTTAAAATCCAGGGAAGCTAGGTGAAGGGTATATGGGAGCTCTGTGCTGTCTTTGCCACTCTCTGTAAGTCTAAAACCATTTCAAAAGAAAATGATTGAAAGTTGCTAGGATTCTCTCTCTGTTGCTGCACCTTATCCGTGGAAACCTCGTTTCAGGGATGATGCAGTGTGTGATTGCAGTCGCGGACAAAATATTCGATGCCTTCCTGAACATGATGGCGGTCCAGAAAAACAGATACACAGGGCCAGGCGCAGTGGCTCACGCCTGTAATCCCAGCACCTTGGGAGGCCGAGGCAGGTGGATCACGAGGTCAGGAGATCAAGACCACAGGGAAAGCCCATCTCTACTAAAAATACAAAAAAAAAAAAAAGGCCAGGCGTGGTGGCTCACGCCTGTAATCCTAGCACTTTGGGAGGCCGAGGCAGGCAGATCATGAGGTCAGGAGATCGAGACCATCCTGGCTAACACGGTGAAACCCCGTCTCTACTAAAAACACAAAAAATTAGCTGGGCGTGGTGGCGGGTGCTTGTGGTCCCAGCTACTCGGGAGGCTGAGGCAGGAGAATGGCGTGAACCCGGGAGGCGGAGTTTGCAGTGAGCGGAGATTGTGCCACTGCACTCCAGCCTGGGAGACAGAGCGAGACTCCGTCTCAAAAAAAAAAAAAAAGAAAAAAAGAAAAAATTAGCCGGGCGCAGTGGCGGGCCCCTGTAGTACCAGCTACTCAGGAGACTGAGGCAGGAGAATGGCGTGAACCCGGGAGGTGGAGCTTTCAGTGAGCCGAGATCGCGCCACTGCATTCCAGCCTGGGTGACAGAGCGAGACTCCGTCTCAAAAAAAAAAAAAAAAGAAAAAAAAAAGAGGTACACAGGCACCACCTGCCCCCAAGGAGCTCACAGCATCTTGAAGAGGCACCAAGGAAAACACCAGACGGTGTTGAGGGTTTGATGAGGTGTGGGGGCTCAGAGGAGGGGCCTCGCAGAAGCTGGGGGAGGAACCAGGGATGGAAGGAGTTCCCCAGTAGGCAAGAGGACAAGGAAAAGAAAGTGCCTTTGCTGGGGCAGGAAATGGGCACTGGACACTTATACCCTTCATTGGCACCATAGAGCAGTGCTAACATGTTCCATTTGATAGGAGAGAAAACTGTGGCCCTGGGAGAAGTGGCCCATTACTAGGCTAGGAGCTGGGTACCAGGAATTGGACCTCATCTAGAGCATGCAGGTGAGGCTTTGCCTCAACCTCCCTCTGACTACCTGAAGCCTCATCTCCCACATCCCTCGCTTCCCACAATCAGTGCTGTGCCACATCACACCCCCCACTATGCCCAGGCTGTTCCCTCTGCCTGTGGTGCCTTTGCCATTCCCTCCCACTACACTCCCCATGTCCATCGTGGCAGGGACTCAATTTATCATGCTCCCTTAGGTAAGCTGACAGGAAGATGCTGCTGGACCCCTTTGATTTTTTTTTTTTTTTTTTTTTTGAGATAGGGTCTGGCTCTGTCACCCAGGCTGGAGTATAGTGGTGTGATCATGGCTCAGTGCAGCCTCAACCTCCTGTACTCAAGTTATCCTCCCACTTCAGACTCTCAAGCAGCTAGAACTACAGGTGCACACCTCCATGCCTGGCTAATTTTTGGGAAAAAAATTTATAGAGACAGTTTGTCTCTATATTACCCAGGCTGGTCTGTAACTCATGGACTCAAGAAATTCTCCCACCTCAGCCTCCCAAAGTACTGGGATTACAGGTGTTAGCCACCACACCTAGCCTGGACCCTTCTGAGTGCAAAGGCAGCACCCAGCATCTCTGTGACTCCCCCAACAGCCCGCTGGGTCAGAACTGCTATCAACCCCATTTACAGAGGAAAAAACTGAGGCTCAAGCTGTTCCTCAGCTTCTCAGTCATCTGGCTGGTCAGAGGCTCAAGCCCAAGTCTGTTCTTGAACTGTGAGGGCCAGACCAAGTCCTGAGGGGACTTAGATAACCTAAAGGACTCCCTCTTTCTTTCCTTTCTCCCTCCCACCTTCCTTCCTTTCTATCCTCCTTCTTCTCTCTTTTCCTTCCTTCTCCTTTCCACCTTCCTTCTACTCCATTCTCTGTGCTTAGTGAATGAAGAAATTAACACATTACTTGGCCCTTGTCCTCCCCTGTCTAGATTGCATGCTTAACAAACATTTGATGAAGGACTGTCCTCTGACCTAGAGCTATGGCCAAATGACAGAACAAATGGTCATTGCTACTCGTGCCTTTGGGAAGTGGGCAAAGCCTCAAGTTTCAGGCTGCAGAGGAAGGAGGGTGATTGAAATAGATCCAGCCCGGGAGCGGTGGCTCATGCCTGTAATCTCAGCACTTTGGGAGGCTGAGGTGGGCAGATCACCTGAGGTCAGGAGTTTGAGACCAGCCTGGCCAACGTGGTGAAACCTCGTCTCTGCTAAAAATACAAAAATTAGCCAGGCGTGGTGGCATGCACCTGTAATCCCAGCTACTTGGAAGGCTGAGGCAGAAGAATCGCTTGAATCCAGGAGACAGAAGTTACAGTGAGCCAAGATTGTGCCACTGCACTCCAGCCTGGATGATAGAACGAGACTCCATCTCAAAAAAAAAAAAATAGATCTAAAGGGAAGAGAAATGGAGATGCTACAAGACAGAAGATACGTCTGTCCTGGCAGCAGTGTGGAGCTGGGAAACAGAGACGCTGACAGCAGCAATGGGGATCTCAGGAAGCAGTGCCTGCTTGTTCAAAGGCTCAGGGATTACAGTAACACTCAGGCTGCCAGAGCCAGAGGGCAAGACCCTGCAAGCACCAGTTCAGAGCCCAGACTCAGGTCACACAGACCTGCCCATAAGTCCCTGTGTGACCCTGGACAGTTTCCTTCTCTGGAGAGGAGAGTGCCAGGCTCTCTGGCTATGGGGAGGATTCAGCGATGAGGCTTGTAAAGTGCAGATGGGAAGGGGCTGACCACTCGCTGCAGAGGCACATGAGCTGGGGAGCTGGGCCAGGGCCACCAGGGCAGGAAGCCAGCCCAGTAGGCCAGGGGGCCCCAGCCAGAGAGCTAGAAGCTCGCACCATACTGCCCTCCTGGCCCAGGAAGATGTGGACCAGCCAGGCAGGCTGCAGGGCCCAGGAAGAGCAGCACGGTCCCTCTCCAGGTATCCAGCCCCATCCAGTGCTGGGGGATGGAAGGAACTCCACTGGAACTCAGCGGGTTAGGGTCTGGCCAGGTGACCCTCCCTCTCTGAGCTCCAGTCCTCCCTGCACCCTCAAACGAGGGTCATGATAGGACGGGAAAATATCAGTGCAAGAAGGGATGTGAGTGCCCTGAGGGTGGTGGGCATGGGTGAGGGCTGGTACAGATAGCCAGACTGCAGGAGGCTGGGGGTTTGCAGCTCCAGTTCCCACTGCCTGAAATCGCCTCCCAGCTCCTCTGGCAGCCCTCACTCCCTCTCCTTCAGCTCTCAGCTCTTGTGTTTCCTCCTTGCCTCATGCAGGAAGCCTGCTCTGATGCGGCTCTTCTCCCCATGAGCACCACATTCCTCACCCAGAGCACTCGCCCAAGCGCCAATGTTACTACATTCCATTGTTGTTTGTATTTAACCTTTGCATTCTCCCCCAAACTGAGCCCTGAGGAACCCAGTTTGAAAACCATTCATGTAATCCATCACTTTCATTTATTGTTTGTTTGTTTATTTATTTATTTATTTTGAGACAGAGTCTTGCTCTGTCACCCAGGCTGGAGTGCAGTGGCACAACCTCAGCTCACTGTAACCTCCACTTCCTAGGTTAAAGCAATTCTCCTGCCTCAGCCTCCCGAGTAGCTGGGATTACAGGCAACTGCCACCACGCCCGGCTAATTTTTGTGTTTTTTAGTAGAGATGGGGTTTCACCATGTTAGCCAGGCTGGTCTCAATCTCCTGATCTCAAGTGATCCACCCACCTTGGCCTCCCAAACTGCTGAGATTAGAGGCGTGGGCCACCATGTCCAGCTTCACTTTTATTTCATAGGTGAGAAAGCTGGACCGGGAGAGGGTAGGAGCTTGGTGAGCCCATGCTGGGACACCTGCCTCCCAGTCTGCAGCTCATTCTCATAGATCATGGACTGTCAATTCCCTAAGGACAGCAGCCACATCTGGCCTGTCTGCCTCTGTCTTCTTCAGTCCTGTATTTACTGAGCACCTATCATGTGCCAGGCACTGTTCTAGACATGGAGGAGACAGCAAAGAACAGACAGAAAACACATAGAAACAAAAATAAAAAATATGTGGCTGGGTATGGTGGCTCATGCCTGTAATCCCATCCCTCTGGGAGGCTGAGGTGGGAGGATCACTCGAGATTAAGAGTTTGAGACCAGCCCAGGCAACATAGGGAGACCCTGTCTCTACAAAAAAAAAAATTAAGTGTTTTTTGTTTTTTTTTTTTTTTGAGACGGAGTCTCACTTTGTCGCCAGGCTGGAGTGCAGTGGTGCTATCTTGGCTCACTGCAAGCTCTGCCTCCCGGGTTCACGCCATTCTCCTCCCTCAGCCTCCCAAGTAGCTGGGACTACAGGCGCCCGCCACCACGCCTGGCTATTTTTTGTATTTTTAGTAGAGACGGGGTTTCACCGTGTTAGCCAGGATGGTCTCGATCTCCTGACCTCGTGATCCGCCTGCCTCGGCCTCCCAAAGTGCTGGGATTACAGGCGTGAGCCACCGCGCCCGGCCAAAAATTAAGTTTTTAATAAATAAAAATAAAGGATATGGAATGAAAAGCTGGGGGAGCTACTGTAGCAATGGGGGATGGGAAGCTTAAACCCTCCTGCAGGCTCTCAGGATGGAGCCCATTCCCCTCCTCAAGGCCAGGCAGGCTCCACAAAGCTTGGGGCTTTGGTAGCCGAACAGAAATGGAGCCAGGCCATGCCGGCAGGAGAAGGATGTGAACCAGGTTGCCCAGGAACCCAGACTCCATGGCCCAAAAGTCATAGACTGGGGTTGTAGAGAGAGGGAAAGTGGAATACAGAGCTGGCGATGTGGAGCCAACTGAGATGTAAGGGGGACATATCGCCTTCTCTCCGGGTCAGGGAAGTCATTACGTACTGGGATGGGGTATGTGTGTGTCGTGTGTGTGTGAGCACACAATGGGCAAGAGGTCCTCTAACCCAGGGGTTCTGAAACTTGTTTCAAGGAGCATAACGCTTTATTAAACCAAAACCCTTCTTCGAATCTGATAAGTGACACTTAAGAGTAGATCTGCCGGCCGGGTGCTGTGGCTCACACCTGTAATCCCAGCACTTTGGAAGGCCGAAGAGGGTGGATCACGAGGTCAGGAGATCGAGACCATCTTGGCTGGCATGGTGAAACCCCATCTCTACTAAAAAATACAAAAATTAGCCGGGCTCGGTGGCGGGCGCCTGTAGTCCCAGCTACTCGGGAGGCTGAGGCAGGAGAATGGCATAAACCCGTGAGGCGGAGGTTGCAGTGAGCCAAGATTGCACCACTGCACTCCAGCCTGGGTGACAGAGCGAGACTCCGTCTCAAAAAAAAAGAGTAGATCTGCCCATTGAAGCAAGTAGGGGCACTGTCTCTCCCCATCCGCTTCCTGCATACCTCCTCCCAAAAGGCCTATGGTATTTCTGTTTTATTTATTTTTATTATTATTATTGTTTTTATTTTGGGGGGGTGGGTTTTTTGTTTTTTTGGTTGTTTGAAACAGGGACTGGCTCTCTCGTCCAGGTGGAAGTGGAGTGGCACAATCTCAGTCCACTGTAACCTCTGCCTCCCAGGCTCAAGGTATCCTTCCATCTCAGCCTCCCAAATAGCTGGGACTACAGGCGTGCACCACCATGCCAGGCTAAATTTTGTAATTTTTTTATAGAGATGCAGCCTTGCCGTGTTGTCTAGGCTGGTCTTGAACTCCTGAGCTCAAGTGATCTGCCCGTCTCAGCCTCCCATAGTGGTGGGATTACAGGCATGAGCCGTCACATCTGGCCTGTTGTTAATTTTTTTTCTTTTTTTTTTGACTCAGACTCTCACTCTGTTGCCCAGGCTGGAGTACAATGGCGTGATCTCAGCTCACTGCAACCTCCACCTCCTGGGTTCAAGCAATTCTCCTGCCTCGGCCTCCCGAGTAGCTGGGATTACAGGCACCTGCCACCATGCCCAGCTAATTTTTGTATTTTTAGTAGAGACAGGGTTTCACCATGTTGGCCAGGCTGGTCTTGAACTCCTGATCTCAAGTGATCCACCCACCTTGGCCTCCTAAAGTGCTGGGATTACAGGCATGAGTCACGGCGCCCAGCCTACAAAAAAAAAAATTTTTTTTTTTTTTGAGATGGAGTCTTGCACTGTCACCCAGGCTAGAGTGCAATGGCATGATCTTGGCTCACTGCAACCTCTGCCTCGCGGGTTCAAGCGATTCTCCTGCCTCAGCCTCCCGAGAAGCTGAGTCTACAGGCGCCTGCCACCACACCCAGCTAATTTTTTGTATTTTTAGTAGAGATGGGGTTTCACTATATTGGTCAGGCTGGTCTTGAACTGCCCAAAGTGCTGGGATTACAGGCGTGAGCCACTGCGCCCAGCCAGCACAGGAGTTTTGACCTGCTCCTTTTCGTTTTCCTTTTTCTTTCTTTCTTTTTTTTTTTTTTTTTTTTTTGAGATGGAATCTCACTCTATCGCCCAGGCTGGAGTGCAGTGGTGCAATCTCAGCTTGCTGCAACCTCCACCTCCCAGATTCAAGCAATTCTCCTGCCTCAGCCTGCCGCGTAGCTGGGATTAGGCATGCATGCGCCACAATGCCTAGCTAATTTTTGCATTTTTAGTAGAGACGGGTTTTCACCATGTTAGCCAGGCGGGTCCCGAACTCCTGACCTCAGGTGACCTGCCCACCTTGGCCTCCCAAAGTGCTGGGATTACAGGCATGAGCCACCGAGCCCGGCCAACCTGCTCCTTTTCTAACCTGGGCCAGTTCACCTCTCCTTAGACAAGCTGGTGGTTTCCTGCTCCCAGGAAGTCACCAATTTATGCCAAGTTTAGTGCAGACACCCCATCAGTATAGTACATTACAATCCAGAAGTCCTGGATCCAAGCAAGCCTCCTGCCTCAGCCTCCCAAGTAGCTGGGAGTATAGGTGTGTGCCCAGCAGTTCTATATTTCCAAGGAACCCTGGAGCCCTAAAGAACCCAGTTTGAAACCACCACTTTCAGGCTGGGCATGGTGGCTCATGCCTGTAATCCCAGCACTTTGGGAGGCTGAGGCCTGTGGATCACTTGAGGTCAGGAGTTCAAGACCAGCCTGGCCAACATGGCGAAACCTTGTCTCTACTAAAACTATGAAAATCAGCTAGGCATGGTGGCAGGTGTTTGTAATCCCAGCTATTTGAGAGGCTGAGGCAGGAGAATCACGTGAACCCAGGAGGTGAAGATTGCAGTGAGCCGAGATCATGCCACTGCACTCCAGCCTGGGTGACAGAGTGAGACTCCATCTCAAAGAAAAAAAAAAGAAACCATCTCTTTCATTTAATAGGTGAGAAAGTTGAACCTGGAGAAGGCAGCAGCATGGTGAGCTCATGCAGGGACTCCTGCCTCCCTGCAACTCATTCTCATATGTCTTGGGCACCAGTGATGTGCTAAGTCACATGCACGGATGCAATAGGGACAAGGGAAAACATGGCTTCTGCTCTCCCCAAGATCAGAGTTGATGGGGGTGACAGGCAGGTCACTGGACAATCACTGCACAACATGATGAGAACAGGGATGGCAGAAACCCAGCCCTGGGGAAGCCTGGCTTTGCTCATCCACTCAACCAACATTCCCGAATGCTTTTGACATACTTTGGGGCAGCTGCTGGATGGTAACTGTGGGGTTCCCAGAGACCCATCCACCCCAGTGTCCTTTTTCTTGGTGACAGCCTACTCTCTTTTTTTAATTTTAATTTTAATTTTTATTTTTGAGATGGAGTCTCGCTCTGTCGCCCAGGCTGGAGTGCAGTGGCGGGATCTCGGCCCACTGCAAGCTCCACCTCCTGAGTTCATGTCATTCTCCTGCCTCGGCCTCCCAAATAAGTGAGACTACAGGTGCCCGCCACCACGCCTGGCTAATGGCTAATTTTTTGTATTTTTAGTAGAGACGGGGTTTCACCATGTTAGCCAGGATGGACTCTATCTCCTGACCTCGTGATACGCCTGCCTTGGCCTCCCAAAGTGCTGGGATTACAGGAGTGAGCCACCGCACCAGGCTTTTTTTTTTTTTTTTTTTTTTTGAGACAGTCTTGCTCTGTTGCCCAGGCTGGAGTGCAGTGGTGCCATCACAGCTCACTGCGACTTTGACCTCACCTTGCAGGCTCAAGCAATCATTTCATCTCAGCTGGAAATGCAGACTGGGTCTCGCTCACTCTGTTGCCCAGGCTAGTCTCAAACTCCCGGGCTTAAGTGACCCTCCCATCTCAGCCTCCTGGGTAGCTGGCACTACAGGCATGCACCAGCACGCCCAGCTAAAATTTTTTTTGTAGAGACAGGGTCTCTCTATGATGCTCAGGCAGGTCTTGAGTTCCTGGGCTCAAGTGATCCTCCCACCCTGGTCACCCAAAGGGCTGGGATTACAGGTCTGTGCCACCATGCCCGGCCCAGCCTGCCCTCCTGACCTGACAGTTGAGGCCCTACTGGAGACTGCAGCAGGGCATCCAGGCTGTGAAACCCCACCCACCAGCTCTGCCTCAGTTGCCCATGTGCCCTGGCAAGCCAGTGGCTCTCACTGAGCCTCAGGTTCTCTTCCGTAAAACAGGGCTGTGATGAAGATTCTCTCAAGATAGTCCTCCCTGTGGCTACCATGCCCAGGAGCCCAGCACCAGTTCAAGGCTAAGGCCATCCCTGCATCTCACCTCCCCTTCCTCTCACATACACACTACATCTGCCTCACCTCTCATAAAGAACATCTGGGCTGGGCACGGTGGCTCACGCCTGTAATCCCACCATTTTGGGAGGCCAAAGTGGGCGGATCACAAGGTCAGGAGATCGAAATCATCCTGGCCAACATGATGAAACCCTGTCTCTATTAAAAATACAAAAATTAGCTGGGCGTGGTGGCGCATGCCTGTAATCCCAGCTACTCAGGAGGCTGAGGCAGGAGAATCACTTGAACGAGGGAGTTGGAGGTTGCAGTGAGCCGAAATCGTGCCACTGCATGCCAGCCTGGTGACAGAGCAAAACTCTGTCTCACAAATAAAATAAAATAAAATAAAATAAAATAAAATAAAATAAAATAAAGGGCCATGCGCCGTGACTCACGCCTGTAATCCCAGCACTTTGTGAGGCTGAGGCGGGCAGATCACAAGGTCAGGAGATCGAGACCATCTCTACTGAAAATACAAAAAAAATTAGCCAGGCATGGTGGCGGGCACCTGTAGTCCCAGCTACTTGAGAGGCTGAGGCAGGAGAATGGCGTGAACTCAGGAGGCGGAGCTTGCAGTGAGCAGAGATTGCGCCACTGCATTCCAGCCTGGGCGACAGAGCGAGACTCCATCTCAAAAAAAAAAAAAAAAAAAAGAACATCTGGAGCCATAATTCCCGATGTTCTTGTTACTTGACACTGCCTAAAGGCATGTTCTGTGGGTTCCGGGGAAACTGATTTGAAAAACTTGAGTGTTGTAAAGGAGGGCCATAAGCTGAGTGAACACAGCAGTTGTGAGAGGTCCCAGGTGCTTCCTGGGGACAGGGAGACACGACAGACCAAGAAGCAAAGGGGCCTCTGATGTGACTTCAATATCAAGGTCTTGTCGGGCACAGTGGCTCATGCCTGTAATCGCAGCACTTTAAGAGGCCGAGGCGGGTGGATCACTTGAGGTCAGAAGTTCAAGACCATCCTGGCCAACATACTGAAACCCTGTCTCTACTAAAAAGTACAAAAAATTAGCTGGGCATGGTGGCTCAAGCCTGTAATCCCAGCTACTTGGGAGGCTGAGGCAGGAGAATCTCTTGAACGTGGAAGGTAGAGGTTGCAATGAGCCAAGATTGCGCCACTGCACTCCAGCCTGGCGACAGAGTGGGGCCCCATCTCAAAAAAAAAAAAATCAATGTCTCGATGCAGACTGCCAGGTATCAGGTGTCCATCCATGTCTCCCAAAAGCCACTTGGCACCAGGAGCAGACAGGAAGGGCAAAGAGGAGCCAGACTGAAGCAGGGCTTCTTAGCTCCCAAGCCACACAGGTGGCCACCAGTCAGAGAGGCAGTGTGTGTGTGTGTGTGTGTGTGTGTGTGTATTTCTTCAGTTCAGTGTGTGTATGTATGTTTCTTCTGCAGCTCAGTGTATGTGTGTATTCCTTCAGCTCAGTATGTGTGTGTGTGTATGTTTCTTCTGCAGCTGTGTGTGTGTGTGTGTGTGTGTGTGTGTGTGTGTGTGTGTTTCTTCTGCAGCTCAGGATGCCTCCAACATTTCTGCTGAAGCCTCACCCTCACTCCTGGCCCATCCTGAGGCCTCTACCTAAGATGCCAATGAGTAGCCCAGACACTGGGGCTCCAGTGTTTGTCACCAGGTGGTACCTGGATGTGGGAGGTAGACAGGCCAGATGGCCAGTTTGGGCAGTGCCCCTCATGCCTATCTGGCCCTGGGTCCCTATGCCACCTTGCTGGGGAGGGTCTTTTCGCTTACACCTCCTCTGAGCCGACTCTGCGCAGTAACACAAATGTGTATCAGGCACATCCTTTCCTCAAAAGGTGGATGACCAGTTGGGTGATCAGGGCTGTTAGGGGGCTGAAGGGTCCTGGGGAGTCCAGGTCTAGCCAAGTTGAGGCCTATCCTGCTGCATTTTCCAGCCACCTGACCCAAATACACCACCTGAACCCACGACCAGGTATGCCCACACCCCATGGGTGGCCTTAACACACACACCCTGCCCCTTTCTCCAAGTACAGGAGCAGCAGCCCAGACTTCCCTCGGGGCACCGCGGCCTGCTTGGGACTGCACAGTGCCTGGGAGGGTGCCTGGGGAGGGTCACAAGGGACTTGGTGCTAGAAGCAGGAAAAGTGTAGGGACCGGAAAAGCCCCCGTGCATCCTGGAAGGGACATGGGCCAGTTTGAGCAGGGGTGTGGGAGTCCAGCCCTGGCCTTGCCAGGTGGAGAGGCGCCTGGGCCAGACATCCGCGGCAGGAGGCGGGGGAACATGCCAAGAGGCGGAAGGGGCACGCGGAGACCCCCAGGGGGCGCCGGAAGGGGCGCGCCGGGCGGTCGGCGGCGGCCGTTGGCGAGCTGAGGCCTGCCAGGCGAAGTCTGGAGACCAGCCGGGCCGCGGCCGCAATGGCCAAGGACTCGCCCAGCCCCTTGGGCGCGTCGCCCAAGAAGCCGGGCTGCTCCAGCCCGGCGGCGGCAGTGCTGGAGAACCAGAGGCGGGAGCTGGAGAAGCTACGGGCGGAGCTGGAGGCGGAGCGGGCAGGCTGGCGGGCGGAACGGCGGCGCTTCGCTGCCCGGGAGCGCCAGCTGCGTGAGGAGGCCGAGCGGGAGCGGCGACAGCTGGCTGACCGTCTGCGCTCCAAGTGGGAGGCACAGCGCAGCCGGGAGTTGCGGCAGCTGCAAGAGGAGATGCAGCGGGAACGCGAGGCCGAGATCCGGCAGCTGCTGCGCTGGAAGGAGGCCGAGCAGCGGCAGCTGCAGCAGCTGCTGCACCGGGAGCGCGATGGCGTGGTGCGCCAAGCCCGGGAGCTGCAGCGCCAGCTGGCCGAGGAGCTGGTGAACCGCGGCCACTGTAGCCGCCCGGGGGCGTCCGAGGTTTCCGCGGCGCAGTGCCGCTGTCGCCTGCAGGAAGTGTTGGCGCAGCTTCGCTGGCAGACTGACGGCGAGCAGGCGGCGCGCATCCGCTATCTGCAGGCGGCGCTGGAGGTGGAGCGCCAGCTCTTCCTCAAGTACATCCTGGCGCACTTCCGCGGGCACCCGGCTTTGTCGGGATCACCGGACCCCCAAGCTGTGCATTCCTTGGAAGAACCGCTGCCCCAGACCTCCAGCGGCTCTTGCCACGCCCCCAAACCCGCCTGCCAACTCGGATCTCTAGACAGCCTGAGTGCTGAAGTCGGTGTGCGCTCCCGCTCGCTAGGCCTGGTGTCCTCTGCGTGCTCCAGCTCCCCAGACGGCCTGCTCTCCACGCACGCCAGCTCCCTTGATTGCTTCGCACCTGCGTGTTCCCGCTCGCTTGACAGCACCCGGAGCCTCCCCAAGGCCTCCAAATCCGAGGAGCGGCCCTCCTCACCAGACACCTCCACCCCTGGCTCCCGGAGGCTCTCGCCGCCACCATCGCCACTCCCGCCGCCACCACCACCGTCAGCCCACAGGAAACTCAGCAACCCGCGGGGAGGAGAAGGCTCTGAGAGCCAGCCCTGCGAAGTCCTGACTCCCTCACCCCCGGGCCTGGGCCACCACGAGCTGATAAAGCTGAACTGGCTGCTGGCCAAGGCGTTGTGGGTGCTGGCGCGCCGCTGTTATACCCTGCAAGCGGAGAACAAGCAGCTGCGGCGTGCAGGCTGCCCCTACCAGGCAGACGAGAAGGTGAAGCGGCTCAAGGTAAAGCGCGCGGAGCTGACCGGGCTCGCGCGGCGCCTAGCTGACCGCGCCCGCAAGCTGCAGGAGACCAACCTCCGGGCCGTGAGCGCGCCTATACCCGGCGAGAGTTGCGCCGGCCTGGAGCTGTGCCAAGTCTTTGCCCGCCAGCGCGCTCGGGACCTGTCGGAGCAGGCGAGCGCGCCGCTGGCCAAGGACAAGCAGATCGAAGAGCTGCGGCAGGAGTGCCACCTCCTGCAGGCGCGTGTCGCCTCGGGTCCCTGCAGCGACCTGCATACTGGAAGGGGCGGCCCCTGCACCCAGTGGCTCAACGTCAGAGACTTAGACCGCCTGCAGCGCGAGTCCCAGCGGGAAGTGCTGCGCCTGCAGAGGCAGTTGATGCTTCAGCAGGGCAACGGTGGCGCTTGGCCCGAGGCGGGCGGCCAGAGCGCAACCTGCGAGGAGGTGCGACGGCAGATGCTGGCGCTGGAGCGCGAGCTGGACCAGCGGCGGCGCGAGTGCCAGGAGCTGGGCGCGCAGGCGGCCCCGGCGCGGCGACGTGGCGAGGAGGCCGAGACACAGCTGCAGGCGGCGCTGCTCAAAAACGCCTGGCTGGCGGAGGAGAATGGGCGGCTGCAGGCCAAGACCGACTGGGTGCGGAAGGTGGAGGCTGAGAATAGCGAAGTGCGCGGCCACCTGGGCCGCGCGTGTCAAGAGCGCGATGCCTCCGGCTTGATCGCCGAACAGCTGCTGCAGCAGGCGGCGCGCGGGCAGGACAGGCAGCAGCAGCTGCAACGCGACCCGCAGAAGGCCCTGTGTGACCTCCATCCTTCCTGGAAGGAGATACAGGCGCTCCAGTGTCGGCCTGGTCACCCTCCTGAACAGCCCTGGGAGACCAGTCAAATGCCGGAGTCCCAAGTTAAAGGTAGCAGAAGGCCCAAGTTCCACGCACGGCCTGAAGACTACGCAGTGTCACAGCCCAACAGAGACATACAGGAGAAAAGGGAAGCCTCCCTCGAGGAGAGCCCAGTTGCCCTTGGGGAGTCAGCCAGTGTCCCCCAAGTTTCAGAGACAGTCCCTGCCAGCCAACCTCTGTCCAAGAAAACCAGCTCCCAGTCAAACTCCTCCTCTGAGGGGTCGATGTGGGCCACCGTGCCGTCCTCCCCTACTCTGGACAGGGACACAGCCAGTGAGGTGGATGACCTGGAGCCTGACAGCGTGTCCCTGGCCCTGGAAATGGGGGGCTCGGCGGCTCCTGCTGCCCCCAAGCTCAAGATCTTCATGGCTCAGTATAACTACAACCCATTTGAGGGGCCCAATGATCACCCTGAGGGTGAGCTGCCCCTCACAGCTGGGGACTACATATATATCTTCGGGGACATGGATGAGGATGGCTTCTATGAGGGGGAGCTTGAGGATGGCCGGCGGGGGCTGGTGCCCTCCAACTTCGTGGAGCAGATTCCGGACAGCTACATCCCAGGCTGCCTGCCTGCCAAATCCCCTGATCTTGGCCCCAGTCAACTCCCAGCGGGGCAGGATGAAGCTCTGGAGGAAGACAGCTTATTATCTGGGAAAGCCCAGGGAGTGGTGGACAGAGGGCTGTGCCAGATGGTCAGGGTGGGCTCCAAGACAGAAGTAGCAACAGAGATCCTGGATACCAAGACGGAAGCCTGCCAGCTGGGCTTGCTGCAGAGCATGGGGAAGCAGGGCCTCTCCAGACCCCTTCTGGGGACCAAAGGGGTGCTCCGTATGGCTCCCATGCAGCTACACCTGCAGAATGTCACAGCCACATCAGCCAACATCACCTGGGTCTACAGCAGCCACCGCCACCCCCATGTGGTATATCTTGATGACCGAGAGCATGCCCTGACCCCAGCGGGCGTGAGCTGCTACACCTTCCAGGGCCTGTGCCCCGGCACGCACTACCGGGCGCGGGTGGAGGTGCGGCTGCCACGGGACTTGCTGCAGGTGTATTGGGGAACTATGTCCTCCACCGTCACCTTCGACACACTCTTGGCAGGACCTCCCTACCCACCGCTGGATGTGCTGGTGGAGCGCCATGCCTCGCCAGGTGTCCTGGTGGTCAGCTGGCTCCCTGTGACCATTGACTCAGCTGGGTCCTCCAATGGAGTCCAGGTCACCGGTTATGCTGTGTATGCAGATGGGCTTAAGGTTTGTGAGGTCGCCGATGCCACTGCTGGGAGCACCCTATTGGAATTCTCCCAGCTACAGGTGCCCCTCACGTGGCAGAAGGTCTCAGTGAGAACCATGTCACTCTGTGGTGAGTCCCTGGATTCAGTGCCTGCTCAGATCCCCGAGGACTTCTTCATGTGTCACCGATGGCCAGAGACTCCACCCTTTAGCTACACTTGTGGCGACCCATCCACCTACAGAGTCACCTTCCCCGTCTGCCCCCAGAAGCTGTCACTGGCTCCTCCGAGTGCCAAGGCCAGCCCCCACAACCCTGGAAGCTGCGGGGAGCCCCAGGCCAAGTTCCTAGAAGCATTCTTTGAAGAACCCCCAAGGAGGCAATCCCCAGTGTCCAACCTGGGCTCAGAAGGAGAATGTCCGAGTTCAGGGGCTGGCAGCCAAGCCCAGGAGCTTGCAGAGGCCTGGGAGGGCTGTAGAAAGGACCTGCTCTTTCAGAAGAGTCCCCAGAACCACAGGCCACCTTCAGTCAGTGACCAGCCTGGGGAGAAGGAAAATTGCTCCCAGCACATGGGCACCAGCAAAAGCCCTGCTCCAGGATTCATCCATCTACGCACCGAGTGTGGGCCCAGGAAAGAACCGTGTCAGGAAAAGGCTGCCCTTGAGAGGGTACTTCGGCAAAAGCAAGATGCCCAAGGGTTCACACCTCCCCAGCTGGGCGCCAGCCAACAGTATGCATCTGACTTCCATAACGTTTTGAAGGAGGAGCAGGAGGCACTGTGCTTGGATCTGTGGGGCACAGAGAGGCGAGAGGAGAGGAGGGAGCCTGAGCCCCACAGCAGGCAAGGACAAGCTCTGGGGGTGAAGAGAGGGTGCCAGCTCCATGAGCCCAGCTCGGCACTGTGTCCAGCTCCATCCGCCAAAGTCATCAAGATGCCCAGGGGTGGCCCCCAACAGCTGGGGACGGGGGCCAACACTCCAGCCAGGGTCTTTGTGGCCCTCTCTGATTACAACCCCCTGGTGATGTCTGCCAACCTCAAGGCTGCAGAGGAGGAGCTGGTCTTCCAGAAAAGGCAGTTGCTAAGAGTGTGGGGCTCTCAGGACACCCATGATTTCTACCTCAGCGAGTGCAACAGGCAAGTGGGCAATATCCCCGGGCGCCTAGTGGCTGAGATGGAGGTGGGGACAGAGCAGACTGATAGGAGGTGGCGTTCTCCGGCCCAAGGGAACCTGCCTTCTGTGGCCCACCTCGAGGACTTTCAGGGGCTCACCATCCCCCAGGGTTCCTCCCTGGTGCTCCAGGGGAACTCCAAGAGACTCCCACTGTGGACTCCAAAGATCATGATAGCAGCTCTGGACTATGATCCTGGGGATGGGCAAATGGGGGGCCAGGGGAAGGGCAGGCTGGCGCTGAGGGCAGGAGACGTGGTCATGGTTTACGGGCCCATGGATGACCAAGGATTCTATTATGGAGAGTTGGGCGGCCACAGGGGCCTGGTTCCTGCCCACCTGCTGGATCACATGTCCCTCCATGGACACTGAGCAAGCATCCTTGCCCAGGTAGTGGCCTCTGGCTGCTCACACCCTGCCAGAGGAGAAGCAAGCGTTCAGACCCTCACACCAGCACCCCTCCTCACCACCATAAGTAGCATGTGCTCCAAGTGCCACTGTGTTAAACTGATGGTAGTCCTTAAGCGTCCCCTAGGCTCTGAAAGTAGCAGGACTTAAGCCTGAGTTATTTGCAAAAGCAAACACAACAAGCCAACCCCTGAGAGTCTGAGAAGCCATTTCAAAGTTGCTGATAACTATGGCAGGTATACGGAGAAGCGCCTTTTTCTGTGGCCAATGTGTGTTTTCTCTGGGAGGTTAAGGTTATCTGTCCATTGCCTTGTACGAAAGTCTCAAGAAAAGTCTACATCTTAAAAAAGAAAAAGCAATCTGAGTGTTATTTTTGGGATGTGAGGGTGATCTGGCTGCGACATGTGTCACCCCATTGATCATCAGGGTTGATTCGGCTGATCTGGCTGACTAGGCGGGTATCCCCTTCCTCCCTCACCACTCCATGTGCGTCCCTCCAGAAGCTGTGTGCTCAATGGAAGAGGATGACCATCCCCGATAGAGGACGATCGGTCTTCAGTCAAGAGTATAAGAGTAGCTGCGCTCCCCTGCTAGAACCTCCAAACGAGCTCTCAGAATGTTATTTTTCTGTCTTATGTCCAACCCCTCATTAAAATGTTCATAGAAAAAACATATTTTAGAAGTTGAAGCACAACCAAGGAAACATGAGCCTGGCTTTCCTCCCTCTCACTTCTGCGCATTGGGTCCGCAAGGGCTACAGAAATGTTTTCCTGGCTGAGGAAGGGAGGGTGCACCCTTCTGCTTTTTTTTTCCTGGCTGCAGTCTATTCCCAGAACACATTCCATCACATGGTTCCCAGAACTCAGATTGTGCGGTGGCCACGTCATCATTGGCTGGGGCTCACAGTCACAGCAGCAGAGGCCTCCCTAAACCTCCCTCTCCTCTAGCCCCACCCGCTGTCCCCTGCTCCTCATGCCCCCATGCTGTGTCCCCTGGCCTCACTTCCGTTGCCATGTTTTCATAATCCTCTCAGGCTCTGGGCAGCAGCGCTGCCCACAGTAGGACCAGATCATGTAAGGAAAATACTGCAGGCTCATCTTGGGGCTGCACTGGCGACCTGAGAACACCTTATCCTACTGTACCTGCTGCACCTCATCTGACACCAGCTTCTCTGCTTTGCCCAAGGTCCCTAGGCCCTGAATGCTT
This sequence comes from Homo sapiens, assembly GCF_000001405.40. Taxonomy (NCBI): domain Eukaryota; kingdom Metazoa; phylum Chordata; class Mammalia; order Primates; family Hominidae; genus Homo; species Homo sapiens. The sequence goes on along the minus strand of NC_000022.11, from coordinate 18,605,272 downwards.
ACTTTTTAAGGTCAGCCTGGCTCAGGATATGCTAGTTTGGCTGCAGAGGGTCCTACTAAGAGCCAGGACTGAGGAGCAAGGCCCAAAAAACTCCTCTGGGCCACATCTTCCCCGAGGGCATCCCCGCAGGGAGGCCGTGTGCTGCTGAGCCCTTTGCTAGGAGTGGGTAGTCAGTGTCTCCCACATGACGATCTTGCTTCATTCAGATAGCTTTCGTAGCTCACTGCTTTTCTGAGTCACTTCCTGTGAGGGATCACCTTGGGATGGAATTTCTTTTCCTTTTTTTTTTTTATTTGGAGACAGAGTCTCGCACTGTCACCCAGGCTGGAGTGCAATGGCACAATCTCGGCTCACCACAACCTCTGTCTCCCGGGTTCACACAATTATCCTGCCTTAGCCTCCCGAGTAGCTGGGATTACAGGTGCACACCACTACACCTGGCTAATTTTTTGTATTTTTAGTAGAGACAGTGTTTCACTATGTTGGCCAGACTAGTCTCAAACTCCTGACCTCGTGATCTGCCCGCCTCAGCCTCCCAAAGTGCTGGGATTACAGGCGTGAGCCACTGCGTCCGGCCTTCTTTTCCACTTTTTTTTTTTTTTTTTTTTGAGATGGAGTCTTGCTCTGTTGCCCAGGCTGGAGTGCAGTGGTGCAATCTCAGTTCACTGCAAGCTCTGCCTCCCGGGTTCACGCCATTCTCCTGCCTCAGCCTCCTGAGTAGCTGGGACTACAGGCGCCCGCCACCACGCCTGGCTAATTTTTTGTATTTTTACTAGAGACGGGGTTTCACTGTGTTAGCTAGGATGGTCTCAATCTCCTGACCTCATGATCCGCCCACCTCAGCCTCCCAAAGTGCTGGGATTACAAGCATGAGCCACCGCGCCTGGACCTTTCCTTTTTTTGAGACAGAGTCTTGGTCTGTTGCCCAGGCTGGAGGGCAGTGGCACAATCACAGCTCACTGTAGTCTTGAGCTTCAGGGCTCAAATGATTCTCTCACCTCAGCCTCCCAAGTAGCTGGGACTACAGATGTGCACCACCACACCTGGCTAATTTGGTGTGTGTGTAGAAGCAGGGGTCTCACTGTGTTGCCCAGGCTGGTCTCAAACTCCTGGGCTCAAGCAATCTGCCTGCCTCAACCTCCCAAAGTGCTGGGATTACAGGCCTGAGCCACCACACCTGATGCCTGGCTAATTTTTAAATTTTTTGGTAGAGATGGGGTCCCACTATGTTGCCCAGGCTGGTCTGGAACTCCTGCGCTCAAGTGATTCTCCTGCCTTGGCCTCCCGAAGTGCTGGGATTACAGGCCTGAGCCACTGCACACAGAGGGCATTTCTTTATTTGCCCCATTTTGCAGAAGAGCTTCCTGAGGCTCAGAGAGGCCCCTCATCTAAGGTCACATCATGGCTCAAAGTCACCTCCTCCATAGACTCCCCAGGCTGCCCCTCTGGGAGGGCGGGAATGAGGGGTGGTCTTTATCCTTCTCTCCCTCTCTTTGATACCCTTTTGTTTCCCCACGTCCAACAACACTGTCAGAGGAAAGACACTTCCAGAATACCCAGGTAAAAAAAAAAAAAGAGACAATAAGGAAAGGACACTGCCTTCTCCGGTGTCATCAGAAATGATTGAAAGAGGCCGGGCGCGGTGGCTCACGCCTGTAATCCCAGCACTTTGGGAGGCCAAGGTGGGCAGATCACGAGGTCAGGAGATCGAGACCATCCTGGCTAACACGGTGAAACCCCATCTCTACTAAAAATACAAAAAAATTAGCTGGGCGTGGTGGCGGGCGCCTGTAGTCCCAGCTACTCGGGAGGCTGAGGCAGGAGAATGGCATGAACCCGGGAGGTGGAGCTTGCAGTGAGCCGAGACTGCACCACTGCACTCCAGCCTGGGTGACAGAGCGAGACTCCGTCTCAAAAAAAATTAAAAAATAAATAAATAAATAGGCCGGGTGCCATGGCTCACACCTGTAATCCCAGCACTTTGGGAGGCTGAGGCAGGCGGATCACAAGGTCAGGAGTTCAAGACCAGCCTGACCAATACAGTGAAACACTGTCTCTACTAAAAATACAAAAAAATTAGCTGGACGTGGTGACATGCACCTGTAGCCCCAGCTACTTGGGAGGCTAAGCAGAAGAATCACTTGAACCCGGGAGGCAGAGGTTGCAGTGAGCCAAGATAGTGCCACTGCACCCCAGCCTGGGCGACAGAGAAAGACTCCATCTAAAAAATAAATAAATAAATAAATCACATTAAAAATAAACTTAATTTTTTTTAAAATTTAAGTTTAAAAAAGTAGGCCAGGTGCGGTGGCTCACGCCTGTAATCCCAGAACTTTGGGAGGCCGAGGTTGGTGGATCACGAGGTCAGGAGTTCAAGACCAGCCTGACCAACATGGTGAAACCCCATCCCTACTAAAAATACAAAAATTAGCTGGGTGTGGTGGTGGGTGCCTGTAATCCCAGCTACTCGGGAGGCTGAAACAGAGAATTGCTTGAACCCTGGAGGTGGAGGTTGCAGTGAGCCAAGAATGCGCCACTGCACTCCAGGCTGGTGACAGAGTGAGACTCCGTCTCAAAAAAAATAAAAATAAAAAATCACTGGGCATGGTGGCCTGCGCCTATAGTCCCAGCTACTCCGGAGGCTGAGGCAGGAGAAATGCTTGAACCCAGGAGGTGGAGCTTGCAGTGAGCCGAGATCGTGCCACTGCACTCCAGCCTGGGCGACAGAGCGAGACTCCATCTCAAAAAAAGAAAAGGAAGGAAGGAAGGAAGGAAGGAAAGAAGGAAGGAAGGAAGATTAAATGTCAATGGCTCATACTTGTAATCTCAGCACTTTGGGAGGCGAGGCAAGTGGATCGCTTGAGCACAGGAATTCAAGACCAGCCTGGGCAACATGTTGAAACCCCGTATCTACTAAAAATACAAAAATTGGCCTGATATGGTGGTTCACACCTATGGTCCCAACTACTCGAGAAGGTGAGGTGGGAGAATCGCTTGAGCCTGGGAAGCAGTGGTTTCAGTGAGCCAAGATTGAGCTACTGCACTCCAGCCTGGGTGACAGAGTGAGACCCTGTCTCAAAAGAAAAATAAAATAAAATAAATGACAATGTAAAGGCAAATTTTGTCTATAACAACATCATAATAGGACATTGAATTATTACAGTGCAGTTGTTATAATTAAGTTTACAATAGAATATTCATGGCTGAAACCCAGACAAACTAAAATCACCAACTGCTTACAAACCAACTGCTTACTAGTGAAAACCCAAATAGGTAAGGCTTTTTTTTAGCAGTGAGTCTCTGCTCAGTGAGGACCTGGGCACCCTCATTTTTTTGAGTCTTGGTATTTCTTTCCATCTGAAAGGATGGAGCGGATGTGTGGATCCCCAGCGTTTTCAGTTCTTCCACCTGGTCCTCATTCTGTCATGGCGTGATCATGGCTCACTGCAGCCTCAACCTCCAGGGCTCAAACCATCCTTCCCGCTCAGCCTCCTGAGTATCTGGAGGCATGTGCCACCACACCCAGCTAATTAATGTGTGTGTGTGTGTGTGTGTGTGTGTGTGTGTGTGTGTAGAGATGAGGAATTCTCGCTATGTTGCCTAGCTTGGCTCCAACTCCTGGCCTGAAGCCATCCTCCTGCCTCTGCCTCCCAAGGAATAGTTGATTTTTGTTGTTGTTGTTGTTTTGAGATGGAGTCTCACTCTGTCACTCAGGCTGTGGTGCAGTGGTTCGATCTTGGCTCACTGCAGCCTCCTGGGTTCAAGCGATTCTCCTGCCTCAGCCTCCTGAGTAGCTGGGCCTGCAGGTGCATGCCACCATGCCCAGCTAATTTTTTTTTTCTTTTTTTTTGAGACAGAGTCTCACTCTGTCACCCAAGCTGGAGTACAGTAGTGTGATCTCGGCTCATTGCAACCTCCGCCTCCTGGTGCAAGTGATTCTCATGTCTCAGCCTCCCAAGTAGCTGGGATTACAGGCATGCACCACCATACCCAGCTAATTTTTTGTATTTTAGAAGAGACGGTGTTTCGCTATGTTGGCCAGACTGGTCTCGAACTCCTGACCTCAGATGATCTACCCGCCTTGCTCCAAAACTGCTGGGATTTCAGGTAGGAGCCACTGCACCCGGCCTATGGAATAGTTTTCAATGCCTTGTCTAGCTAGGGATCATTGAACATGTTGTATGCGGGGTAGACTGCAGCTGCAGGATCTGTACCAGGGTGTTGGTGAAGACGCAATGGGGTTGCCCCAGCGTCCTTGAGAAAGACTACCACCTTGTGGCCGGGCGCGGTGGCTCATGCCTGTAATCCCAGCACTTTGGGAGGCTGAAGCAGGTGGATCACGAGGTCAGGAGTTCGAGACCAGCCTGGCCAAGATGGTAAAACCCCGTCTCTTCCAAAAATATTTTAAAAATTATCTGGGTGTGGTGGCTCGCGCCTGTAATCCCAGCTACTCAGGAGGCTGAGGCAGAGAATTGCTTGAACCCGGGAGGCAGAGGTTGCAATGAGTCGAGATCATGCCACTGCACTCCAGCCTAGGAGACAGAGTGAGACTCTGTCTCAGAAAAAAAAAAAAAAGCAAAAACCTACCACCTTGCACTTCGTTCAACAGAGTGTCCAGTTGCTCCACAGAGCCTGCACTCCACAGTCTGCCGCCACCCGTGCCACACTCACAGCAAAGCAGAGTTCCCACTGCTCAGCCCAGGGACCTGCTCAATCCTGCTCGCTCACTGGAGCCCTTGACGGACTGGGACCTCGGCTGGCAGGTCTTTGGCTTCCTTCCCTTAGCATAATGTCCTTGAGCTTCATCCATGTTGCAGCATGTGTCAGAATTTCCTTCCTTTCATGAATAATTGTTTAAGGCCAGGGTGGTGGCACAAGCCTGTAGTTCCAGCACTTTGGAAGGCCAAGGTGGATGGATCACTTGAGCCAAGGAGTTGGAGACCAGCATGGGTAACATGGCAAAACCTCATCTCTATTATTATTATTTTTATTTTTATTTTATTTTATTATTATTTTTTGAGGTGGAGTTTCGCTCTGTCGCCCAGGCTGGAGTGCAATGGCACGATCTTGGCTCACTGCAAGCTCCGCCTACCGGGTTCACGCCATTGTCCTGCCTCAGCCTCCCAAGTAGCTGGGACTACAGGCGCCCACCAGCACACCCGGCTAATTTTTTGTATTTTTAGTAGAGACAGGGTTTCACCATGTTAGCCAGTATGGTCTCGATCTCCTGACCTTGTGATCTGCCCGCCTCGGCCTCCCAAAGTGCTGGGATTACAGGTGTGAGCCACCGTGCCCGGCCTATTATTATTATTTTGAGACAGAGTCTTGCTCTGTCACCCAGGCTGGAGTGCAGTAGTACCATCTTGGCTCACTGCAACCTCCGCCTCCCAGGTTCAAGTGATTCTCCTGCCTCAGCCTCCCAAGTAGCCAGGATTATTGGCCGCCCGCCACAATGCCTGGCTAATTTTTTTGTATTTTTAGTACAGACAGGGTTTCACCATGTTGGCCAGGATGCTCTCTAACTCCTGAACTCAGGTGATCTGCCTGCCTTGGCCTCCCAAAGTGTTGGGATTACAGGCGTGAGCCACTGCACCTGGCCTTCATCTATTTTATTTATTTTATTTTATTTTATTTTATTTTATTTTTTATTTTATTTTATTTTATTTTATTTTATTTTATTTTATTTTATTTTATTTTATTTATTTTATTTTTTGAGACAGGGTCTTGCTCTGTCTCCCAGGCTGGAGTGCAGTGGTGCTATCTTGGCTCACTGCAGTCTCCGCCTCCCGGGTTCAAGCGATTCTCTTGCTTCAGCCTCTCGAGTAGCTGGAACTAGAGGCATGCGTCACCATGCCCAGCTCAGGTTTGTATTTTTAGTAGAGGCAGGGTTTCACCATGTTGCCCAGACTGGTCTCGAACTCCTGACCTCAAGTGATCCACCCACCTTGGCCTCCCAAAGTGCTGAGATTACAGGTGTGAGCCACCACACCCGGCCTCATCTCTATTATTTTAAAAAACATATTTTTTGGCCGGGTGCAGTGGCTCACACCTATAGTTCCAGCACTTTGGGAGGCCGAGGCGGGTGGATCACAAGGTTAGGAGTTCCAGACCAGCTTGGCCAATATGGTGAAACCCTGTCTCTACTAAAAATACAAAAATTAGCTGGGCGTGGTGGCGCGTGCCTGTAGTCCCAGCTACTTGGGAGGCTGAGGCAGAAGAATCACTTGAACCCAGGAGGCGGAGGTTGCAGTGAGCTGACATCATGCCACTGCACTCCAGCCTGGGCGACAGAGTGAGACTCTGTCTCAAAAAAATCCCATATTTTTTAATTGTTTAAAATTATTATTAATATTTATTTATTTTATTTATTTTTTTTTTTGATGGAGTCTCGCACTGTCACCCGGGCTGGAGTGCAATGGCGTAATCTCGGCTCACTGCAACCTCCGCCTCATGGGTTCAAGTGATTCTCCTGCCTCAGCCTCCCAAGTAGCTGGGATTACAGGTGCCCGCCACCACGCCTGGCTAATTTTTTTCTATTTTTAGTAGCGACGAGGTCTCACTATGTTGGCCAGGCTGGTCTTGAACTCCTGACATCATGATCCGCCCACCTCGGCCTCTCAAAGTGCTGGGATTACAGGCATGAGCCACTGCACCTGGCCTATTATTTTTTTCTTGTTTTTTAATTTCCATATATTTTTTTTCTTCTTCTTCTTACTTTTTAAAAGTTTTATTTATTTATTTATTTATTTTTTGAGACAGTTTCACTCTGTCACCCAGGCTGGAGTACAGTGGGGTGATCTTGGCTCACTGCAACCTCCGCCTCCCAGGTTCAAGCCATTCTCCTGCCTCAGCCTCTCGAGTAGCTGGGATTACAGGTGCCCACCACCATGCTCGGCTAATTTTTTGTGTTTTTAGTGGAGATTGGGTTTCACCATGTTGGCCAGGCTGGTCTCGAACTTCTGACCTCAAGTGATCCACCCCGCCCCCACCTTGGCCTCCCAAAGTGCTAGGATTATAGGCGTGAGCCACTGCACCCGGCCTATTTCTTTTTTATTTTTATTTTTATTTTTATTTTTTGGAGATGGAGTTTCACTCTTGTTGCCTGGGCTGGAGTGCAACGGCACAATCTCAGCTTACTGCAACCTCACCTTGCAGGTTCAAGCGATTCTCCTGCCTTAGCCTCCCGAGTAGCTGGGATTACAGGCACACACCACCGCGCCCAGCTAATTTTGTATTTTTAGCAGAGATGGGGTTTCTCCATGTTGGCCAGACTGGTATCGAACTCCCGACCTCAGGTGATCCGCCCGCCTTGGCCTCCCAAAGTGCTGGGATTATAGGCGTGAGCCATCGCGCCTAGCCAATTATTATTTTTTAAGAGACTGGGGTCTCACTATATTTACCAGGATGGTCTCAAACTCCTGGCCTCAAGAGATCCTTCCGCCTCAGCCTCCCAAAGTGCTGGGATTACAAGCATGAGCCATTACGCCAGGTCTTTATCTAGGTTTTTCTATTGTCTGTATTTCATCATCCAACCATCCCCTACCAGAGTGTGCCTGGCCAATTTTCTTCCCTTCTTCCACCACACGTTTCTTTTTTTTTGTTTGTTTGTTTGAGACAGTGTCTCACTCTGTCACCCGGGCTGGAGTGCAGTGGCATGATCTTGGCTCACTGCAACCTCCACCTCCTAGGTTCAAGCGATTCTCATGCCTTGGCCTCCAGAGTAGCTGGGATTATAGGCATGTGCCACCACACCTGGCTAACTTTTGTATTTTCAGTAGAGAGGGGGTTTCCCCATGCTGTCTGTGCTGGTTTCCAACTCCTGGCTTCAAGTGATTCGCCTGCCTCAGTCTCCCAAAGCGCTGGGATTATAGGTGTGAGCCACCACACCTGGCCTCCTTCCTTTTTAAGGCTGAATAATAGTCCATTGTGTGTATGTAATGCATTTTGTTTATCCATTCATCTGTCAATGGATACTTTGGTCGTTTCTACCTTTTAGCTATTGTGAATAATACTGCTGCTCTCCTTTACACTTTTTCAAAGCACTAGATCCCTGATGAGCCCACAGCCTAGAAATGGAGTCTGAGCACAGTAAGCCACAAGACAGCTGCTTCTGCCGAGAGGACAGCCTGGGACCTTTTGGGTCAGGGGCAAGAGACTTGGAGGTTGGCAGGCTGCTCTCTGACTGAGAAGTGGGGACAAGTATGGTTCCCACACACTAGGGAAGCAATGACAGACTAGCAAGAGAATAGAAACTTTAATTCATGCACTCTCAGGCCAGGCATGGTGGTGCAGACCTGTAATCCCAGCACTTTGGAAGGCCAAAGTGAGCCACTGTGCCCTGTTGTGTTTTGATTTTTGAGACAGAATCTGGCTGTCACCCAGGCTGGAATGCAGTAGCACGATCATAGCCTCAACTTCCTGGGCTCAAGTGATCCTCTCACCTCAGCCTCCTGAGTAACTGGGACTACAGGTGCATGTCACCACACCTAGCTAATTTTTCTTTTTTTTTTGAAACATAGTCTTGCTCTGTCACACAGGCTGGAGTGCAGTAGCACGATCTAGGCTCACTGCAACCTCTGTCTCCCAGGCTCAAGCAATTCTCTTGCTTCAGCCTCCCGAGTAGCTGGGATTACAGGCATGCGCCACCACGCCCAGCTAATTTTTGTATTTTTAGTAGAGACGAGGTTTCACCATGTTGGCCAGGGTGGTCTCAAACTCCTGACCTCGGGTAATCTGCCCACTTTGGCCTCCCTAAGTGTTAGGATTACAGGCATGAGCCACCATGCCTGGCAATTTTTTTGTACAGATGGAATTTTGCCATGTTGCCCAAGCTGGTCTCAAATTCCTGGGCTCAAGCAATTCACCTACCTTGGCCTCCCTACAGGCATGAGCCACTGAGCCTAGCCTCCAGCTAATTTTTACATTTTTTGTAAAGACAGGGTCTTGCTATGTTGCCCAGGCTGATCTCAAACACCTGGCCTCAAGAGATCCTCCTGCTTGGCCTTTCAAAGCACTTGGATTATTGGTGTGAGCCACCACTTCCCACCTAGCCTGTTCCATCACTTTTTACTTAATTTCACAACTTTCCCTGACCATTGCCTCAAATCAGCTTTTTTTCTGACAGCTGCGTTGTAGTCTTTGTCAGAGTTATGAGGGGCACCCCCACTCTTCACTCCAGCCCCCACCTGTTTTATTTTCCTCCATAACCCTCATCACCCCCCAGCATGTTACCTAGGTTTTTATCTTTTTTTTTTTTTTTTTAATTAAGACAAGGTCTCGGCCAGGCTCAGTGGCTCACGCCTGTAATCCTAGCACTTTGGGAAGCCGAGGCGGGTGGATCACGAGGTCAGCAGATCGAGACCATCCTGGCTAACACAGTGAAACCCCGTCTCTACTAAAAATACAAAAAAATTAGCCAGGCGTGGTAGCGGGCGCCTGTAGTCCCAGCTACTCAGGAGGCTGAGGGGCGCCTATAGTCCCAGCTACTCGGGAGGCTGAGGCAGGAGAATAGCATGAATCCGGGAGGCGGAGCTTGCAGTGAGCCGATCGCGCCACTGCACTCCAGCCTGGATGACACAGTGAGACTCCGTCTCAAAAAAAAAAAAAAAAAAAAGACAAGGTCTCACTCTGTCACCCAGGCTACAGTATGGAGTACAGTGGCGCAACCACAGCTCACTGCTCACTGCGGCCTTGACTTCCTGGGCTGTCGATCCTCCCACCTAAACCTCCCAAGTAGCTGGGACTGTAGGCATGAGCCAACATGCCTGGCTAATTTTTGTATTTTCCGTAGAGACAGGGTTTCGTTCAAGCCACTGCACCTGATCGTGTGTTTTGGGCAACTCTGGGAGCAGTGGCACAGGAAAGAAGAAAGGGACTGGGGACAGGTGCCAACCCATCAGCTGGTGTGGACCTCCTCCCCCTGGGAGGGTTACAAGTCCAGGGAGGAGGACCTCATGCTGCCGCCAGGGGGCAGCCTAGGTGCACTTTAGGGTCATTCTCCAGGGGCTGCACACCTGGCAGAGCTGCCTGGGCCACACCTGCCTGCCCAGTGTAAGGGGGAATAGGAAATACTGTATCTTTTTGACCAAGCAGGCCTGGAATCCACACCCCACCCGACCAGCCCCATTCTCTCCCTCCCTTCTCCCCAGAGCACCCTAGGCAGCCCACCCCCCACATAACCGAGAGGGGCTGTCCTTCCAGGGGAGCAGGGACCAGTGTCAGGCCTGGTCATTCTGACACCCACCCACAGAAAGATCTCCTTCTTCACCCCTCTGGCAGCCCTGCTCCCCTAAATCCTCAACTTCAGAGGCCATGGGCAGTTTTAAAGAAGCATAAGGCTGGAGAGGCAGGGCCACAGAGCCACTGGGCTCCAGAACCCAGTCACTGGATCCAAATGCCAGCCTGCTCACAGACAGCTGCAAGGCCTCTCTGAGCCTCATTTTCCCAGACTGTGGCAGAACTGGTTTTGTTTTGAGCAGGTCAGGTGTGCAGAACACTTGGCCTGGTGTCAGGACCCCGAGAAAGACCCAGACAGCTGATGAGAAGGGGGGCGTCATGGCTTGTGCCTGCAATCCCAGCTACGGCGGAGGCAGAGAGGGGAGGATCACTTGCGACCAGGAGTTCGAGACAAGCCTAGGCAACATGGTGAGACTCTGTCTCTACAAAAAAAATTTAAAATAGGCCGGGCGCGGTGGCTCACGCCTGTAATCCCGGCACTTTGGGAGGCCGAGGCGGGTGGATCACCAAGTCAGGAGATGGAGACCATCCTGGCCAACACGGTGAAACCCCGTCTCTACTAAAAATACAAAAAATTAGCGGGGTGTGGTGGCACGCACCTATACTCCCAGCTACTCAGGAGGCTGAGGCAGGAGAATTGCTTGAACCCGGGAAGCAGAGGTTGCAGTGAGCTGAGATCGCACCACTGCACTCCAGCCTGGGCGACAGAGCGAGACTGTGTCTCAAAAAAAAAAAGAAAAAAGAAAAAAAAAGAAAGCTGATGAGGGCACAGGTCGGGGGTGGGGGCAAGGGAGCACAGTTCTAAGCCCCAGCTTGGCTCCCCGTGCAGAGCCCTGAGAATCTGGAGACTTTCAGCAGAAGGGAAGGCCGCACAGGTCTAGCAAGTTGGCAGGCTGCTGGGGGGTAGGGGTGGGCTGGGAAGGAGGTGGATGCCTGGCTGTGGCCTGCACCAGGCCCCTTCCCTGACTGACTGCACGACCTGGAGGCCCAAAACCTGTCCAGTCCAGACCTGCCCAGGAGGGGAACGAGGGGGGATGGGCAGCCCAGCCGGCCCGAAGGCAGAGGAGCCTAACGAGTGGGCGAAGGGGCGGTGTCCGGAGAGTTCTGGTGCAAGGGTCACTAAGCCTGTCCAGGCCCCATCCACCCCTGCCCAGGCGCCTCTGGCCCATCTGCCCCCTCCACCTCTAGCTGACCTGCCCCCTCTCGCTCACTGCGGCTATGGATTTTGAAAGCATGAGGCTAACTGATCAATTTCAGAGTCATTGTAAAAAATCTGGAGAAGATTTCACAAGAACACGATATGAAAGATACGACTTTTTAAAAGCTCAGAGATATCTCTGCAGCCTATTTTAAGCTCATTCCACCTTCTGGTCACACCCTACTCTCCCTGTCTCACTACTGGGGTGGTTGAATTTGGAGGCTGGGTGGGGTGTGCAGGAGGTCAGGTGTTCCATCTGAGGCGGAACAAGATGGGCCAACTCTAGTCTTGTGAAACAAAGCACATTGCCAGGTGGAGCTGGCTCCAGGAACCTAGGCACAGAGGGTTCCACACACGGTGGCATTGCTGACACCGCAGCCGGCCGCACAGGTCCTGCCAGCCTCCAGGCTCAGCCCCACCTGTCCCTGTCTTCGGTGCTGGGTGGGGTCTATAATGGGTTGTTCCCCCAGGCTGGAATGCTCTGTTTGGAAGATCTCCTAAACATCCCCCGCCCACAGGGCCCATCCACCCTCCCCATAAAGCCCTAGCCCTCACTATCTATATCTGATATCCACAGGCTTCTGTGCCGTCTTTTTGCCCTTTCACGGGGTCCCTAGAAGCCCCAGTAAATCCTCCTGTCACTGACGGCCTGGCTGGTTGTACCTACCTTGGTGGAACTCCAGGACCTGGGCCTCAGTCTTAGGGTTGCCACGGTGCACAGCCTCTTGGTCAGGGTGCTTTGGGTCGAAGGTGCCCTCCTGAGGGCAAAGTACCTTCCTGCCCAGCCTGAGAATGGAGTGGGGGCTGAATGTGAACCCTGGCCCACTCACTTCTCAGTTGAGAGACCTCAGGCAGTTCCTTTGTTTTTTGACTTTCAGCCTCAATTTCCTCTTCCCTAAAATTGGCCTTCCAGCTGCCCTGTGCCTACAGCCAGCTCACTCCCAGGTATCCTTTGAAAGCACCCTCCACCACCTCTTGCAGGCAGCCTTCCCCATTCTCCCCTCCCTTACAGGATTTAGCTACCCCTCCCACGTGCTCGGACAGCCCTTAGGCATAATCCCAAAACGCACCCAGGAATTACTCATTCATCCTGCTACCTCACCCTTCAGACTGTCTTACTCCACCCTGCACCCTGAATGCAGGTACCTGGACCTGGCATGGACCAGGCAACGGGATTTGTGGACTAACCCATTTCCAACTTAGGAAAGGCACCAACCAGCTCGTGAATGAGAAGCACTAGACTGAGGCTCTCAGCGGCCATACTTCCCCTGGAAAACTGACCTTTCCTGAGCTCACATATTGCTCAGCACAGCATACCCAGCTAGTTTAATTATTTCCCCCTTTTACATAGGGAATAACTCAGATTTGGAGAGGGGTGTGGTCATTTAGCAGGTTGGGGGCAGAGCTGGGGGCCCGAACCCAGGTGTGTCCCTTTGACCAATGCCCTTATCTGTAGGATTCCTTCCCCCACCCTGGGGCAGGGCCTGGGTCTAGGGAGGAGGCCAGAGGGAGAGATAGGAATTCAAATTGGTGGTGCTGGTGGTGGGGGAAGGCGAGGCCCTGGGAGTGGCCAGTACTCAGGGCTTGGGCAACAGGGTGCTCTGCAGAGCCACTGGGTGGGGGGAACAGCAGGGGCAGGCACAGACCTGCTGAGTCAGAGACGCCGCAGGGACTCCAGGGGGAGGTGTTTGGCAGATGGCTGTGGGCTGGGGCCCGGCAAAAGCACCACAGGGTGGTGGGTCAAGGAGTAGAATTGGGTGCTGAGGCCCTAGCCAGGACCAGGGGATGTAAGAAGGAGGAGGCCTTGGAGAGGGCAGGGGGCAACGTTTTCCAGAAGGAGGGAGTGGTCAGTCTCCACAAGGTCAGGCAAGATAAGCGCTACTGCACCCAGCCTCCCTCATGACTGTGACCAGAGGCTGTTGCCCCAGCTCAGGGGCTTCCTAGCATCTTGGCCATGAGGGATATGTGTAGCCCCCGCCCCACCCCCCGCCATCTGAGGCCCTGCTGGGCCCTGGTGATGGAGGAAGGCTCCCCAGAGAAAACTAGGAAGATAAAGTTTGCAAATTCCATGCCATTAGGCCTTGGTCCACTCCCACCCTCTTTATTATTATTATTATTATTATTATTATTATTATTATTATTTTATTATTTGTTTGTTTTTTTTTTTGAGACGGAGTTTCGCTCTTGTTGCCCAGGCTGCAGTGCAATGGTGTGATCTCAGCTCACTGCAACCTCTGCCTCCCAGGTTCGAGAGATTCTCCCAGGTCAGCCTCCCAAGCAGCTGGGATTACAGGCGCCTGCCACCACGCCCGACTAATTTTTGTACTTCTGTAGAGACAGAGTTTCACCATGTTGGCCAGGCTGGTCTCGAACTCCTGACCTCGAGTGATCTGCCTGCCTCGGCCTCCTAAAGTGCTGGGATTACAGGCGTGAGCCACCACGCCAGGCCCTCTTTTTATTTTAGACACAGGGTTTCACTCTGTTGCCCAGGTTGGAGTACAGTGGTGCTATCATAGCTCACTTCAGCCTCAACCTCTCCAGGCTCAAGCAATCCTCCCACCTCAGCCTCCCAAGTAGCTGGGACTACAGGTGCCACCACCACGCCTGGCTAATTTTTTAAAAAGTTTTTTGTAGAAACAAGGTCTTGCTATGTTGCCTAGGCTGTTCTGGACCTCCTGACTCTGTCTCCCAAAGTGTTGGGATTACAGGTGTGAGTTCATTGCACACAGCCCATCCCTTTCACTACAGGAGGCAAGCCAGAGCCCCAAAGAGGTTCTTGGTGCCTCAAGAACCCTGTTCCTCAGCCCATATTGAGGAGGGGATGTGTTTTCTCCACTCCTGCCCCACCTCCAAACTGCTAGAGAGGAACCTCAGCAGGGAAATGAAGCATTGCTTCACCTTGCCTCTACCTCTGGCCCTGGGGTACCCTCTCTGTCCACTTGACCCCCACTCCTCCAACCACTGAGGCTGTGCTGACCTTCTGCCTGCTCCATCCTGTAACTACCTCACATTCACACAACCCAATGAAGTAGATATGGCTCTGAGTTCCATTTCACAGGTATGAAAACTGAGGTCCATAGAAGTCAGTTCTAGGGCGTCTGGCCTAGTGGCACAGCCAGGACTTTTTTTTTTTTTTGAGACCAAGTCTCGCTCTGTCACCACACTGGAGTGTAGTGGCACGATCTCAGCGCACTGCAACCTCTGCCTCCCGGGTTCAAGTGATTCTTCTGCCTCAGCCTCCGGAGTAGCTGGGATTACAGGTACGCGCCACCGTGCCCGCCTCGGCCTCTGAAAGTGGTAGGATCATAGGCGTGAGCCACTGAGTTCGGCATTTTTTTTTTTTTTAATTTTTGGACTTTTTTTTTTGGAGACTGAGTCTCTGTCACCCAGGCTGGAGTGTAATGGTGCGATCTTGGCTCACCGCAACCTCTGCCTCCCAGTTTCAAGTGATTCTCTTGCCTCAGCCTCCCGAGTAGCTGGGATTACAGGCATGTGCCACCACGCCAGGCTAATTTTGTATATATATGTATATATTTTTTTTTAGTAGAGATGGGGTTTCACCATATTGGTCAGGCTGGTCTCCAACTCCCGAACTCAGGTGATCCGCCCACCTCGGCCTCCTAAAGTGCTGGGATTACAGGCGTGAGCCACCGCGCCCGGCCGGATTTGGTTCCTGGTTCGACTATCTCCCCATGGGTTTCACCGAGAAACAGCCCTGCTGGCCCTTGTCTCCACCTATCACAGAAGAACAACTGGGTCCCCTCCTTTACCCATCCTGGGGCCACTGTATCCTACACACAGACCCCAGAAGACAGACCCTGCCAGTCTAATGGTGGAGACAACTCTGAGATCAAATGGCACGTGGCAGATTGATCAGGAGCAGGAGACCCAGGACCTGGGAGAGAGAGAGCACTGAATTCACAAACTACCCCAAGCAGAGGGCAAGCAAAGCTCCCTAAGAAAGTGGAGCCAGGCCAGACACGGTGGCTCACGTCTATAACCCCAACACTTTGGGAGGCCGAGGCCGGTGGATCATGAGGTCAAGAGTTCAGGACCGGCCTGGCCAAGATGGTGAAACCGTGTCTCTACTGAAAATACAAAAATTAGGCCGAGCACGGTGGCTCACGCCTGTAATCTCAGCACTTTGGGAGGCCGAGGCCAGCGGATCACGAGGTCAGGAGATTGAGACCATCCTGGCTAACACGGTGAAACCCCGTCTCTACTAAAAATACAAAATATTAGCCGGGCATGGTGGCGGACACCTGTAGTCCCAGCTACTCGGGAGGCTGAGGCAGGAGAATGGCGTGAACCTGAGAGGTGGAGCTTGCAGTGAGCCGAGATTGCGCCACTGCACTCCAGCCTGGGTGACAGAGCAAGACTCCATCTCAAAAAAAAAAAAAAATACAAAAATTAGCTTGGCATGGTGGTAGGTACCTGTAATCCAGCTACTGAGGAGGTTGAGGCAGAGAATCACTTGAACCCAGGAGGCAGAGGTTGCAGTGAGCCGAGATGGCACCACTGCACTCCAGCCTGGGCGACAGAGCGAGACTCTGTCTCAAAAAAAAAAAAAATAGCTGGGCATAGTGGTGCACACCTGTAGTCCCAGCTGCTTGGGAGACTGAGGCAGGAGGATCCCTTGAGCCCATGAGTTTGAGGCTGCAGTGGGTTATGATTACACTACTGCACTCCAGCCTGGATGACAGAGTGAGACCCTGTCTCTAAGAAACAGATAAAAATACAAATAAAAAAGAAAGAGCATGGCCAGGTGCGGTGGCTCAAGCCTGTAATCCCAGCGCTTTGGGAGGCCGAGGCTGGTAGATCACGAAGTCAGGAGTTTAAGACCAGTCTGGCCAAGATGGTGAAACCCTGTCTCTACTAAAAACACAAAAATGAGCCGGGTGTGGTGGTGGGCGCCTGTAATCTCAGCTACTCGGGAGGCTTGAGGCAGAGAATTGCTTGAACCCAGGAGGCCAAGGTTGCAATGAGCCAAGATTGCGCCATTGCACTCCAGCCTGGGGGCGACAGAGTGAGAATCTGTCTCAACAAAAAAGAAAAAGAGGCCAGGCGTGGTGGCTCAAGCCTGTAATCCCAGCACTTTGGAAGGCCGAGGCGGGCGGATCACAAGGTCAGGAGATCAAGACCATCCTGGCTAACAGGGTGAAACCCCGTCTCTACTAAAAATACAAAAAATTAGCCAGGCGTGGTGGCGGGCGCCTGTAGTCCCAGCTACTCGGGAGGCTGAGGTGGGAGAATGGCGTGAACCCGGGAGGCGGAGCTGGCAGTCAGCCGAAATCGCGCCACTGCACTCCAGCCTGGGGGACAGAGCGAGACTCCAAAAAAAAAGTGGCCGGGCGCGGTGGCTCACGCCTGTAATCCCAGCACTTTGGGAGGCCAAGGGGAGTTGATCTGGAGGTCAAGAGATTGAGACCATCCTGGCCAACCAATATGGTGAAACCCCGTCTCTACTAAAAATACACAAATTAGCTGGGCGTAGTGGTGCACACCTGTAGTCCCAGCTACTCAGGAGGCTGAGACAGGAGAATTACTTGAACTCAGGAGGCGGAGGTTGCTGTGAGCCAAGATGGTGCCACTGCACTCCAGCCTGGGTGACAAAGCGAGACTCTGTCTCAAAAAAAAAAAAAAAAAAAAAGAGCAGCCAGAGAAAACCACACTAGGAGTGACCTTAGAGCAGGCACTGAAGAACAGCAAGGCATGGCAGGCAGAGGGCATGGCAAGGGCACGGCCCCTTCCTTGGCTCCTCAGACCAGGGAAGTCAGTTCCCCTCTTATGACCAGACAAAGCAGCCTGCACCTTTTTGCCCAGCCCCAGCACCCTTGTGAGTATTCTGTCGTCTTCTCCTTAGTCTGTGGGCTTCTGAGGCCAGGGAACACATCTGTGCTGTTCACTAGCCCAGTGCCCACCTCATCATTGCTGTCAGCATCTGTTGGTTGAATGACAGTTCCATGAGTGGCCTCCCTTGGGCTCAAGGTGCCTGGCTCTGCTAGGGGTGAAGGAGTGGTGACTTGACAGGGAGGTGTGTGGTGAGGAGCGGGGCACCCATCACAGGCCTGGCCTTTGCTATAGGGAATAGGCTTGCTGGGGATGCATTCTTCAGATGGTGTTCCTAAGAGGGTGAACTGAGCTCATGTCAGTCTGAGGGGCTGGAGTCTGAGGTTAGCTACGGACCTTGGGCAGGTGACTTAACCTCTCTAACCTTGGTTTTCTACTGGGTCTTGCCCTGTCATCATGGCTAGGCTGCAGTGATGCAATCTCAGCTCACTGCAGCCTTGACCTCCTGAGCTCAAGCTATTCTCCCACCTCACCCTCCTGAGTAGCTGGGACTTCAAGCACTCACCACCATGGGCCTGGCTTTTTTCTTTTTTGTATTTGTAGAGACAGGGTTTCGCCATGTTGCCCAGGCTGGTCTGTAACTCCAGGGCTCAGCTGACCCACCCACCTCAGCCTTCCAAAGTGCTAGGATTACAGGCATGAGCCACCACCCCTGGCCTCATTCATTTGACTTTCATTTTCGTTTTTATTATTATTTGTTTTAGACTCAGGGTCTCACTCAGTCTCCCAGGCGGGAGTGCAGTGGTGTGACCTTGGCTTACTGCAGCGTCAAATTCCTGGGCTCAAATGATCCTCCTGTCTTAGCTTCTGAGTAGCTGGGACTATAGGTACATGCCACCAAGCCCGGCTAAAATTTTTTTTTTTTTGAGGCCGCGTCTGGCTGTTGCCCAGCTATAGTACAATGGCGCAAGTATAGCTCACTGCAACCTCGAATTCTTGGGCTCAAGCAATCCTCCCACCTCAGCCTCCCAAGTAGCTAGTACTATAGACGAGTGCCACCATGCCCGGCTAATTTTAAAAATTTTTTGTAGAGATGAGATGTCACTGTTTTGCCCAGGCTGGTATCAAACTCCTGGACTCAAGCAATCCTCCCGCCTTGGCTTCCCAGAGTGCTGGGATTATAGGCGCCAGCTACCATGAGTGGTCTCATTTGACTTTTTTTTTTTTTTTTTGAGACAGAGTCTTGCTCTGTAGCCCAGGCTGGAGTGCAGTTGCATGATCTCACCTCACTGTTACCTCTGTGTCCCGGGTTCAAGCAATTCTCCTGCCTCGGCTTCCCAAATAGCTGGGATTACAGGCGTGCATTACCACACCCAGCTATTTTTTTTTTTTTTTTTTTTGTATTTTTAGTGGAGACAGGATTTCATATGCTGGCCAGGCTGGTCTCGAACTCCTGACCTCAGGTGATCCTCCTGCCTCAGTCTCCCAAAGTGCTGGGATTACAGGCGCGAACCACTGTGCCCGACTTCATTTGACTTTTTTTTTTTTTTTGAGATGGAGTCTTGCTCTGTTGCCCAGGCTGGAGTGCAATGGCGCAATCTTGGCTCACTGCAACCTCTCCCTCCCGGGTTCAAGTGATTCTCCTGCCTCAGCTTCCCGAGTAGCTGGAATTACAGGTGCCTGCCACCACGTCTGGCTAATTTTTGTACTTTTAGTAGAGATGGGGTTTCACCATGCTGGCCAGGCTGGTCTCGAACTCCCAACCTCAGGTGATCTACCCGCCTTGGCCTCCTAAAGTGCTGGGATTACAGGCGTGAGCCACTGCACCTGGCCCCTCATTTGACTTTTAATTGAGAACCTACTTTGTGCCATGTATAAGCTGGATACAAGAGTGAACAAGACCAAGCCTTCCTGCCCTCATGCCAACTGCTCAGCAGTATTTCAGGACTGTATCAGGGTGATTAGCCTGGGATCACAGGAGACTTCCTACAAGAGATGATGTCTGAACTGAGTTGTTCACCAGGCACAGGTGGGAGAAGGGAGAAGGCTGGCCTGGACAGGAGGAGCCCTGGTGTGAATGCCCAGAGATGGCAGGAGAAATCATGGCGTATATAAGGTGTCTTGAGCTTGGGATATGGGAAGGTGAGAAGTGATATTGTATGGGACATACTTTTTTTTTTTTTTTTGAGACGGAGTCTCGCTGTCACCCAGGCTGGAGTGCAGTGGCACGATCTCAGCTCACTGCAGGCTCCGCCTCCTGGGGTTCACGCCATTCTCCTGCCTCAGCCTCCCGAGTAGCTGGGACTACAGGCGCCCGCCACCGCGCCCGGCTAATTTTTTGTATTTTTAGTAGAGACGGGGTTTCACCGTGTTAGCCAGGATGGTCTTGATCTCCTGACCTCGTGATCCGCCCGCCTCGGCCTCCCAAAGGGCTGGGATTACAGGCGTGAGCCACCGCGCCCGGCCGGGACATACTTATATTAAGCATTATTGGTTGTTTATCCGAAATTCAAATTTGGGCATACTGTTAAATGCTAAATCTAGCTGTCATAGTAAGAAGCTGAAATTTACTGTTTGGGGGTATTTTGTATATTTGTTTTCTTTCTGTTTTTTATTGAAAACAGATAATGGTAAAATAACAGACCCTTCCTACATGACACAACAATCATAGTCACTGTACCAGGGCTCACCAGAGCCTGAGTTCCGTGCTCTGCCTGCTCAACCTCATGTCATTCAAGCCTCCCAAGGGGGTGGTGCCCTGATTCCCAAATGGATGAGGAAAGCAGATCATAGTGGTTAGATCTTGGACTAGACACACAGAGAATCCGGAGGGAGTGAGGACACAAAATGAACCCATTTCTGGCGGGTCTTCCCATCCCTGCTAATCTGTAGTTTTTATATTTCCATATTACCTTCCGCCCAGATCTAGCTTTACTGGGTTGCTGCCAGGGAGAACAAATTTTTGAAATCTGCTATTTTATTTATATTAATTAATTAATTAATTAATTAATTAATTACTTTAAGACGAGGTCTCGCTCTGTTGTCCAGCCTGGGGTGCAGTGGCATGATCTCAACTCACTGCAACGTCTGCCTCCCTAGTTCAAGTGATTCTCCCACCTCAGACTCCCGAGTAGCTGGGATTATCCGTATGTGACACCATGCCTGGCTAATATTTTAGTAGAGACAGGGTTTCTTCATGATCACCAGGCTGGTCTCAAACTCCTGGCCTCAAGTGATCCACCTGCCTCGGCCTCCCAAAGTGCTGGGATTAGAGGTGTGAGCCACTGTGCCCAGCCTAAAAATATTTTTTAATAGCACCACAGTGTAGGCTGGGTGCGGTGGCTCACACCTGTAATCCCAGCATTTAGGGAGGCTGAGGCGGGTGGATCACTTGAGGTCAGGAGTTCAAGACCAGCCTGGCCAACATGGTGAAACCCCGTCTCTACGAAAAATACAAAAATTAGCCAGGCATGGTGGCAGATACCTGTAATCCCAGCTACTTAGGAGGCCGAGGCAGGAGAATTGCTTGAACCCGGGAGGTGGAGGTTGCAGTGAGCAAAGATTGTGCCATTGCGCTCTAGCCTGGGTGACAGGAGCAAGACTCCATCTCAAAAAAAAAAAAAAAAAAAAAGAACAAAGAAAAAAGAAAACAAAAAGCACCACACTGTAAATAAACTGAACAACCATGGTTAACGAAGTGTGAATAAATTACAGAAGCTCCATACTCTGGAACATTTGTCAGCTCTTAAAGAATGAATTATGATCCTTTTGTAGTTCATAAGCATGATGATTATGTGTTCACACACGTTCCCATGTAAGATGTGCCACCTTCAAATATTTTTTTTTTTTTTTTTAAGAGGGAGTCTTGCTCCGTCACCCAGGCTGGAGTGCAGTGGCGCGATCTTGGCTCACTGCAAGCTCCGCCTCCCGGGTTCATGCCATTCTCCTGCCTCAGCCTCCTGAGTAGCTGGGACTACAGGCACCCGCCACCACGCCCGGCTAATTTTTTTGTATTTTCAGTAGAGATGGGGTTTCGCTGTGTTAGCCAGGATGGTCTCAATCTCCTGAACTCGTGATCCGCCCGCCTTGGCCTCCCAAAGTGCTGCGATTACAGGCGTGAGCCACCGCGCCCGGCCGCCACCTTCAAATCTTGTTACGACATAGGCACATTACCCGTCTGACATGAAAAAAAAAAAAAAGAATGAATTATGGAAATGAACTAGAAAAATGTCTATGATTTCAAAATAGTAGGATCTTTTTTGTAAGGTGAGTAGATACATATTGATGTCAGAGAAGAGAGTTAAACTGTTAATGTTACTTCAGAAAGGACTGATTAGGGTGGAGGAGGAGGGAGAATTTAACTTTAAAAAATTGCTGGGCATGGGCTGGGCACGGTGGCCCACGCCGGTAATCCCAGCACTTTGGGAGGCCGAGGTGGGCAGATCACGAGGTCAATAGATCGAGACAACCCTGGCAACATGGTGAAACCCCATCTCTACTAAAACTACAAAAATTAGCTTGGTGTGGCGGTGCTCACTTGTAATCCCAGCTACTTGGGAGGCCGAGGCAGGAGAATCGCTTGAACCCGGGAGTCGGAGGTTGCAATGAACGGAGATCGCGCCTCTGCACTCCAGCCTGGGTGACAGCGCGAGACTCCATCTGCACAAAAAAAAAAAAAAAATTACCGGGCATGGTGTCTCATGCTTGTAATCCCAGCACTTTGGGAGGCTGAGGTGGGAGAATTGCTTGAGTCTGGGAGTTTGAGTTCAGCCTGGGAAGCATAGTGAGACCCTGTCTCTACAGAAAATAAAAAATTAGCCGGGTGTGGTGGTGCATGCCTGTAGTCCCAGCTGGGAGAATCACTTGAGCCTAGGAAGTGGAGGCTGCAGTGGGCCATAATCACGCCACTGTGCTCCAGCCTGGGCAACAGAGCTAGACTCTGTCTCAAAAATAAATAATAAAATAAAAATAAAATGTGCTTCAGCATCTCTAGAATTGTTCCGATTAGAAATGTTACTTTCATAAAATAAAAATAACACACACGCTAAAGTATACATGTGTAGAAAAAAAATTCCCAACTTCCAGAGAGAACCTCCGTAAATATTTTTGATTTATTTTCTTCAGTTGCTTTTCCATATATCAATATTTTTGCATGCATTTAAAAAATGCAATTAAAAAAAAATTTTTTTTTGAGGCGGAATCTCGCTCTGTCGCCCAGGCTGGAGTGCAGTGGCGTAATCTTGGCTCACTGCAAGCTCCGCCTCCCAGGTTTTCACGCCATTCTCCTGCCTCAGCCTCCTGAGTAGCTGGGACTACAGGCATCTGCCACCAGGCCCGGCTAATTTTTTTGTACAAAAAATACAATTTTTTTTAAGACAGGGTCTAGCTCTGTTGACCAGGCTGGAGTGTGCAGTGGTGTGATTTTGGTTCACTGAAACGTCCACCTCCTGGGTTCAAGTGATCCTCCTGCCTCAGTCCCCCGAGTAGCTGGGACTACAGGGGTGTGCCACCATGCCTGGCTAATATTTTTGTGTGTATTTTTAGTAGAGATGGGGTTTCACCATGTTGGCCAGGCTGGTATCGAACTCCTGACCTCAAGTGATCCTCCTGCCTCAGTCTTCCAAAGTGCTGGGATTACAGGCGTGAGCCACTGCACCTGGCCTCTTCTTTTTTTTTTTTTTTTAAATTATTTTTGGCTGGGCGCAGTGGCTCACGCCTGTAATCCCAGCACTTTGGGAGGCCAACGCGGGTAGATCATGAGGTCAAGAGGTCCAGACCAGCCTTGCCAAGATGGTGAAACCCCGTCTGTACTAGAAATACAAAAATTAGCTGGGTGTGGTGGTGGGCGCCTGTAATCCCAGCTACTCAGGAGGCTGAGGCAGAGAATTGCTTGAACCTGGGAGGCAGAGGTTGCAGCAAGCTGAGATGATGCCACTGCACTCCAGCCTGGATGACAGAGTGAGACTCTGTCTCAATAAATAAATAAATAAAAATTTTATTTTTTAATTAAAAATTTACTTTATTATTATTATTATTATTATTATTGGAGACGGAGTTTCACTCTTGTCACCCAGGCTGGAGTGCAATGGCAGGATCTCAGCTCACTGCAACCTCCGCCTCTGGAGCTCAAGCAATTCTCCTGCCTCAGCCTCCCAAGTAGCTGGGATTACAGGCATACGTCACCATGCCTGGCTAATCTTGTATTTTTAGTAGAGACGGGCTTTTACCATGTTGGCCAGGCTGGTCTCAAACTTCTGACCTTGGGTGATCTACCCGCCTCGGCCTCCCAAAGTGCTGGGATTACAGGAGTGAGCCACCGTGCCCATCCTACTAATTTAATTTATTTATTTATTAATTTATTTATTTTCTGAGACCGAGTCTCACTCTGTCGCCCAGACTGGAGTGCAGTGGTGTGATCTGGGCTCACTGCAACCTCCGCCTCCTGAGTTCAAGCGATTCTCTGCCTCAGCCTCCCGAATAGCTGGGATTACAGGTGCCCGTCACCATGCCTGGCTAATTTTTGTATTTTTAGTAGAGACGGGGTTTCACCATCTTGGCCAGGCTGGTGTTGAACTCCTCACCTCGTGATCCACCTGCCTGGGCCTCCCAAAGTGCTGGGATTACAGGCGTGAGCCACCGCGCCTGGCCTATTTATTTTTTTAAAATGGAGTCCCACTCTGTCGCCCAGGCTGGAGTGCAGTGGCACCACCTCGGCTCACTGCAACCTCTGCCTCCCAGGTTCAAGCAACTCTCGTGCTGCGCCTCAGCCTGCTGAGTGGCTGGGACTACAGGCATGTGACACCATGCTTGGCTAATTTTTTTTTTGAGACGGAGTTTCACTTTTGTTGCCCAGGCTGGAGTGCAATGGTGCGATCTCAGCTCACCGCAATCTCCGCCTCCCGGGTTCAAGCAAGTCTCCTACCTCAGCCTCCCGAGTAGCTGGGATTACAGGCATGCGCAATCACGCCCAGCTAACTTTTCGTATTTTTAGTAGGGACGGGGTTTCACCATAATGGTCAGGCTGGTCTCGAACTCCCGACCTCAGGTGATCTGCCCGCCTCGGCCTCCCAAAGTGTTGGGATTACAGGCATGAGCCACTACTCCTGGCCTAATCTACATTCCATTATGTGGACTATTTAACCCCATTGTGAGAAATTTGTATATGCTTTTTTCTTTTTTTTTTTTGATACGGAGTCTTGCTCTGTTGCCCAGGCTGGAGTGCAATGGCAGGATCTCAGCTCACTGCAACCTCCGCCTCTGGAGTTCAAGCAATTCTCCTGCCTCAGCCTCCCAAGTAGCTGGGATTACAGGCATACGCCACCATGCCCAGCTAATTTTGTATTTTCAGTAGAAACGGGGTTTTACCATGTTGGCCAGGCTGGTCTCAAACTCCTGACCTCAGGTGATCCTCCCGCCTCAGCCTCCCAAAGTGCTGGGATTACAGGCGTGAGCCACCGCCTGTATATGCTTTCTTTCACTATTATACATGACACTTAAAAAATATTATCATATATTAGTTATCTTTTTTGTTGTTTTTTGAGACCGAGTCTCCCTCTGTTGCCCAGGCTGGAGTGTCATGGCATGATCTCAGCTCACTGCAACCTCAGCCTCCCAGATTCAAGCAATTCTCCTGTCTCAGCCTCCCGAGTAATTGGGACTACAGGCATGCACCGCGATATCCGGCTAATTTTTGTATTTTTAGTAGAGACGGGGTTTCACCATGTTGGCCAGGGTGGTCTCAAAGTCCTGACCTCAGGCGATCTGCCGGCCTTGGCCTCCCAAAGTGTTGGGATTACAGGCATGAGCCAGCCACATTAGTTTTCAAATGCAGATGAAACAAGGGACCGTGGAATGCCTGTTGTCTCAGGTGTGCTCCTAGGCATGGGTTCCAAACTTACAGGTACAAACTTACTTATGGGTAGAGAGACAGATAATAAGTACGTGGTCTGCAAACGTGGCTAATTTCCCCAGAACAGAATCCTGGAATACTGGTCTGAGAGGGTATAATTATTTTAAAATATTTTTGGGGCCAGGTGCGTTGGCTTATGCCTGTAATCCCAGCACTTTGGAAGGCAGGAGGATCACTTGATCCCAGGAGTTTGAGGCTACACTCCAGCCTGGGCAACAGAGTGAGACTCCGAGTCTCCAAAAAACAAAAAAAGACAAAAGAACCCCAAAAAAACAACTTTTGGCTCATACCGCCAAACTCATGTCCAGGAATTTTGAGGTGATTTATGTGCTTCCAAAAGTATATGAGAGTGATTACCTATCAGACCTTGTGTTTGAAGGTTATCACTTGAAACTGATTTTTAATTTGTTTAGGAGAAAACCCAGCTTCTTATAGTTTTATTTTATTTATTTATTTATTTTTTTGAGACGGAGTCTCGCTGTCGCGCAGGTTGGAGTGCAGTGGCACGATCTCGGCTCACTGCAGGCTCCGCCCCCCGGGGTTCACGCCATTCTCCTGCCTCAGCCTCCCGAGTAGCTGGGACTACAAGCGCCCGCCACCTCGCCTGGCTAATTTTTTGTATTTTTAGTACAGACGGGGTGTCACCGTGTTAGCCAGGATGGTCTCGATCTCCTGACCTCGTGATCCGCCCGCCTTGGCCTCCCAAAGTGCTGGGATTACAGGCGTGAGCCACCGCGCCCGGCCTATAGTTTTAATTTATATGTCTTGGGTTAGTAGAATGGTTGACTTTTTTTTTCAGTCGTTCCTTCAAATAGTGAGTCCTCTGCTAGGCTCTATTTGTGGAATATTCTTGTTCTTCTTCAGGGATGTTTGATAGCTCTTTTTTTTCCACAGATGTTTGATATTTCCTTTTTCATCTATTGTGTTCTTACCATTTCTAGGATGTTTCTAGGCTTTCTATTCTATTTCCTGTTCTGTACCACACTGAAATGCCTGCGGTAGCTTTACAATTTGTTTTGATATCTGTTAGGGCAAGTCTACCCTCATGCCTGCTTTTGTTCCCAAGGGGGGAAAACCATAGCTGTTTTCGGCTATTTATTTTTCCAGGTGAACTTAGAATTTTGTGAAGTCTAAGAAATGTTGTTAGGATGACATTAAACCTATACATCCATTAGGAAAGAAAGGTTGCATCATCAGCTTGGCGAAGGGTTATTGAAACTGGTTTTTGATCTTGACTGGAGCTGGGGCACAACTTCCCTGTAAGGCAGACCTGGGCTCCTCTTGGACTTGGGCGACCTCGATAGCGGTGTGTTCCTTTGTTTGGTGTTCAAAGTAGAGAGAGGTCCATTAACTAGCTCCCTAGAGAAGCAGTGGCGGCTCAGGCCAGCCCAGCCCCTGGGAAGGCTATCTGCATGGCGGCCGGGAGCCCGGGTCCTGGTGGGCCGGCTCGGGCAGGCGCTTGACCCCTGGGGCCTGCGAGGGGCTGCGGCCACCGGAAGGGGCTGGCTGAGCGCAGCGTGCTGGGTCCTCCGCGCCCTCGGAGCAGGTAGGGTTCGCGGGGGTGCGCCCGCGGGGGCCCGAGGGGCGCTGGGGTCACGGGAGGGGCGCCCCTTCTCTTTTGCACCCAACCAGCCCGGGCTTCCCCAGGAGCCCAGACCCCCGAGCTTGCAGTCACTGCTGGCTGCGCCTTTGAGCCTCGGGCAACCGCAGGGAGCGTCGAGCAGGGGTCGCAAAGGGGTCGGGGAGGGGGCGCGTAGGCCGATAGAGGTCCCTAATTCGGGGCTCCTAGGGGTCAGGGTAGGGCTAAAAGGGGGTAAGTCCACCAGAGTTTGAGGGGGTGGGCGTCAGCCTGTCGGGGGGGGCCAGGGTCCCTGTCCCGGGGGCCGGTATGCGGTTCGGGTATTTCAGGGGCGAGGTCGCGGTCCTGCCCTGGCGCTTGAGGTCGGAGTCCGGTTAGATGTCCGGGGTCTGGGTCCCCGTCTCCTCCCGCGCACCCCTTCCCCACGGCGCCGGACCCCGGCAGCCCGCCCGCCTAGTGCTGGGACCGCTGTCCGGCCCGGCCCCGCCCCCGAGGCCCCGCCCCTGTTCACAGGCCACGCCCCCAGCTGCCCCCTGTCCCCGCCCCGCCGCTCGCCCATTCAGATGTGGGTCAGGGGTGAGCGGGCGGCGCCGACGTCACAAGCTTCCAAGATGGCGCTGGGCGGGCGGCTGTGAGCGGCGCTCGGGGCGCGCTAGGCGGGGAGCCGAGCCGGGCTGGCGGCAGGCGGACGGGGCGGGCGCGTGCGGCGCGAGCCGGGCGCTGAGGACAAGGGCCGCTGGTAGGGCCGGCCGGCCGGCGGGCGGAGCGCCGCCGCCGACGCACACGAGGTGAGGGGCGGCCTTGGGGGGCGGGGGTCGCGGGGAGCGGGCGGGGGCCGGGGCCGCGGGCTGGGCGCGTCCCCGGGGAGAGGGGCGTGGACGCGCGCGCGCCCGGGCGACGTGGGACTGCGCGCGTGGGGGACGCGCTAGCGTCTGGCGGGCCTGGGCTGGGGCGCACGCGGGACCCCTGGCAGGCCCGGGCTTTGTGGGCCAGATGCCCGGAGGGGCGCGGGCGGTGGGGCACCCGGGGCACAAAGCCCACCGGGCCGCGCCAGGCCCAGGCGGCGCGGGTCTGCGGAGCGGGGGTCGGCGGGCGAGCGGGCGCCGGCTCTTTGTGCCTTTTCATTAGCAATCTAATCCGAACAGCGTCGGGCGAGCTGCGCTGCCTGACAGGCGGGAGGGCTCCCATTATGCAAACGGCCCTGCGCCCGCGGCCGCCCCCTCGCTAGAGGATTTTGCGATTTCCAGGACTGCGGTCCTGCACCGTCTGCGGTCTCCTCTCCTCTTGCCTCCTCCCCGCGGGAAGACTGGCCACGGCAGGGGCAGGGGCGGGCCTGGAGGGGCCGCTCCCAGAGGGCCGGGCTCTGCGGCTGGTGGGCTCGCTGCCCTGCCCCCAGACCTCTCCTGTAGGCAGCCGCTTGGCAGGAAGAGAGATGGGCTTGGGGGAGGGGGTCGGCTTTCAGGGGGAAGGGACCGGCTGGCTGAGGGAGGGGGCTGAGGGGCCCCAGCTTGTCACTCTCTGTTTATCTTCCAAGATGGTTCATATTCACACAGGCCTGGGTGTGTGCGTGGTTGGGGGGGGGGGGGAATGCCTCTCCCTGGGGGGCAGTGACTTGCTGAGAGGAGGGAATGAGGCCAGATAATGCTCCCAACGGCCCCACCCAGAACTGCCTGGGACTGCCTGTGTAAGGGAGCCCAGTGCTGAGCCGGATGGGTTGGAGCGGTGTTAAAGTTATTTATCCATGTCTTCTCCTGTCCCCCGCACCCCTAGTCTTTTCTAGTAGGAGTTGCCAAGCACATCTGGAAAGCTGTGTTCCCCGACCCCCCACTCCCCCAACAGCAGGAGGGGTGTAACCCAGGGAAGCCACCCCTCTGACATATGTGCTGGGGGGAGGGGCAGAGCCTTGCCCCTAGGAATCCTGTGGCGGTGGGTTGTTGACTGATGTGGGATTGCTGTGTCTCTTGTGCTGTCGGAGAGCTGGCAGGTAGTGGAGGGGCCTTGGGAGCTCCTAGGCTGAACTTGGGGCTGTCCTCCAAGGATCCAGGATGGAGGGATGGAGCTGGGTCACTCAAACCTAAGGCCTTTCTGGGTCTAGCATTTATTGCTTCCTGGCTTCTGGCTTGGCTTCTTTTCGTCCATTCTCATCTGCCAGTGTCTGGACTCCCTGGGCCTTCAGGCAGGCATTTTCAGGAGCACAGGCCATGTGGTTGGTCTGGAGCCCTGTGTCAAGGAGAGTGTGCGTGCTTGGTGGAGCAGGGTTGCTGGAGTAGTGTGAAAAAAAGCAGATGAGCTGGCCTCTGGAGACAAAGCTGTGTGGCAAGACTGCTGGTTTAGTGGGCTCTGAACACCAAGAACAGGGCCGGGAGTCTGATACTTGGGGGCTGAACTGAGTCCTGTGGCCCAGGATTGTTGCCTGGAAGTGAACGTTCCGTCTTGTGCCATTGAGACTGTGAAGATCTCTGGGTCCCACAGGACGAGCAGTAGACTTGGAAGGCTGGGAAGAGGCTCCCCAGCTGCCTGCCTTGGGAGGTCAGAGCTCTCAGGTGGGTCGGCAGGCCAGTGTCGGGCTGGGGGAGGGAGGTTGTAGTAGAGTGCCTGTGGCCCAGCTTCTCTGGTCAGTTGGCTCTGAGTGCTGCTGTGTGCCCAGCAACCTCTCCCTGCGGTGTTTTTCTGCCAGTTGTTGGAACTTGTAGATTAGTCACTGAGTTTTTACGACCGATTCCTGAAAAGAAAAATCTCCCTCTGGTTGCTGCCTCTGTGTAGAGGAAGAAGCAGCCCGAGGGAGTCAGGCCTTTAATTAAAGCAAAACCGAAATGATTGTCGAAGTTGCTGGAAGGAGAAGAGAAGGCGCAGGTGGGGCAGGGGTGATGAGTCCTGTTGTGCTGCATGATACCTGCTCTGGGGACAGGTAGGCACGATCCCATCCTCGATCCTTGGTCTTGGCCAGCAGCCCAGCCTTCTCCACAAGCTGCAGTCGCGGATTAATCCTCACGTAGTGTTTTCTTTCCGTAGATCAGATTTCTCATTTTGTTAATAAGCGCAGCCTCCCATCCACTTGAAGTCAGCTGTTGTGGACGAGGAGCAACAGGGTTTTGCATTATTGAGCTGATAGCCTGCCGCCTCCCCTCAAGTCCTTATTGTTTGCGGGGTCAGATCTGAGGGGTGGGGAAGTGCCATTTAATCAGCAGCCAGCCCCTGGAGAAGAGCTGGCGGGGCAGTTCTGGAGAGTGAGAGCCGTGAGGAAGGAATAAAGTTCAGTTTACCCAGGGGACTTGTGGTTCCAACCTTATTGCTTGGTCTGTTGGCCTGGAGCAGTCAGCCCCACCCCATACCTTGTCCTGCCCGCTGCCCCCAGTACCTGATCCCTGGGAGAGTGGGGCACTTCTTCTGGGCTGCTCTTGCTGGCCTGGGAGGCAGCTTTCACCGCGGGAAGAAAGAACACATTGGGTTCCTCCCTTCTTGTCTCCTCCGAGCCTGGCCTAGGACGGACCCCTGTGGGGCAGTGAGAGGGGAACTGGACTTGGTCGGTCGCAAAGTCTGTAGTGCATTGCTGGCTCTGCCATTTACTCCCGTCATGACCTTGAGCAGTGATTGACTCTCCTGCCTCGTTTCTACAATGGGAACAGAACTGGAGTTTACATTCATGTATCGCTGTTTTCTGGAGCTCAGCCTAGGGAAGGCAGACACTCAACAAATGATTATAAGATGGGGTGATAAGGGCTGGCATCTAGCGGAGCGCAGAGGGCATAGCGGTGGCGTGGGAGGAGCCGGCCGTGGGCTGGCTGAGAACCCTGGATGCCATGTGGGTTGGGGTTGGCCTGGAGGGGAGGGGTTTTAACCAGGAAGTGACTGCTACTGGGTTTTAAAAGGCAGTGGTAGGGTAGAGGGTGGCAGTGGAGACAGCTGGAGAGCACTGAGGACGCGGACCCACGGGTACTGTGTGAGCTGTGAAGCCCGCTTGGGAGACCCCACTGCCAGCCAGGCATGTATGCGGCTCTTTTTCAAGCTTTTTATTCATTCCGCCACATTTTCTGAGCGCAAAGTCAGTGCCTGGCCCCCTTGGTTTAGACCAAGTCATGTTGGCCCCTGCTTTCTGGTGCTCACAGACTTGCCTGGGCGGGGTGATAGAGGCGCTTGCAGTTCAGCACGCGGCCCGTTCTCCTCTGGAGGAGGGAAGGAGCTGCTTTTGGAAGTTAAGTAGCTTGCTGGGGGCTGGAGGGTAAATGCCTTTGACTCCACCGCCTGTGGAGGCCCATATAGTGTGGTGTCTGGAGAGATCTGAGATCGCACTAGGGAGGATGGGGCTGAAAGCCCCCTCCCTAAGAGAGGTCCTGGCTCCCATTTAGGGGCTTCTGAACCAGCCCTTCCAGTTTGACTCTGCCTGGCACCGCCAGGGTTCGCTTCCTGCTGGGAGGGGCCTTGCCCTAAGGGTTAGGGACCTGGGCTGGGGGAGGGCTCTGAGGAGGGGCTGGGCCCCGAGGGACTGAGGGACTGCAGGCTTGCTTGCCTTGAGCCCAGTTTTAGCTGGGAGTGGCAAAGCGAGAAAAGCTGGTGGGGATGGGAGCTCTGTGTGGGCCCCCAGTGAGCTTGATAAGGGAGGAGAGGCTGGGAGCTGGTTCCAGCCCGCCAAAGTTCAGGAGGGAAGGGCCAGACTGCCTGAGAGGGGTGTGGCGGGACTGAGTGGGGAGAGGGACTCCAAGAAACTGCTTGGGACCCTCGGGAAGGTGGCCAGGCTTTGGGGAGCCCCTCCTTCTAACTATTCAATTTATTTTTTATGGTAATGTTAGTGGGTGGAGAGTGGGAGTGCAGCCTCGGTGTTAGAACAGGGGGACTTGGGGGTCCTTCTAATGGTGAGAGGGAACAGGGATGGGTCAGCTAGGTGCTCTTACCTAGAGGCACCGGTTTTTTGTGAGGTGGGCAGCGCATCGTAGGATCTTAGGTGCATGTTTTCTGTTTAAGGGTGATCACACATGGGGTGTGGTGAGGAGGGAGTATGTGGAGTCCCCAGCCTTCCTGTGGCAGTTCCCAGTGTGACTAAAAGAAGGCAGGGATTGGGTTTGGTTAGGTGGGTGCTTCCAGGTGAGAGTTGGCCTGCTGTGGAAATGGAAGAGCTCCTGGCTCTGGCAGGGGTGTGGCTGCTGTACAGACTTGTCCCCTGCCGTCCCGGGCTGTTGCCCTGCGGCTTGGGCTTCGGCTTCATTCCACCGGGTGGGTGGGTTCTCTGACAAGTGTGGGAAGGGGCCGCTCCCATTACCACACTGAGGCCTGAGCCCCTTTGAGGGGGAGGATCTGTTGCATGGCCTTTGCAAGCCCTCACCCCTGCTGCGGGTCGGGCGGTGAGGCCGCAGCACTCGGAAGACGGTAAACTGTTGGTGAGCTCTCATTCACAAAGTAAGTGAGAAGGGAGAGTGGGGACTGGGACTTCGGTGGCCTGTCCTTGTGTGGACACAGTGGGGCTCTTCTGGGTGATGAGTGCAGGCCGCACATTCACCCAGCACACGTTGCCCATGCTGCCTGGCAGAGGCCTGCCTGCTGGTGCTCTGGTTCTCACCTTGAGCTATACCTGTCTCTGGGGTGGGCCCAAGGCACTAGCTTTTCCTGAAGCTTTTGAAGTGAACCTGATGTGCAGCCAAGTTTGAGAACCGCTCTTCTAGCAGGTGATGCATCTTTGTTGATAATAGAATCCACAGGCGGAGGGATGAGTAGCCCGCGCTTTTACCTGCGGTTCTCACTAACTGCTTTACTCCGAGGGCCTGGTGGGGTCAGCGGTTACCCAGTGAATGAGTTGGCAGAGTCAGTCATGCCTGTTCCTGGGTAGTTACTGGGCACAGAGGGTGAACAGCAGGAGGAACCTAGCCCATGTGCACTGTTGGCTTCTCCTGGGAGGTCCTCTGGAGAGCTGCCTATAGCCCTCAGCTGTAGGCGGGTCCTACTGACCCCGTAGCACGGGCTTTTGGAGTCTGCCTGGCCTGGTTTCCTGGCTGCATTCTTGGGCTCTCGTTGGCCTGTATGTAGTCTGGCGGGACCTCACATAGTGCAGTTTGGGTTGAGCGGAGGTGGCCAGTAATGGGGGCCCCTGGGACTCCTGGGACCTCTGTCTTCTTCTCCCTGGAAGAGAAGAGATTTGTCCCTGAGGTTGGTTTCTTGGGCTGTGTTATCTGGACAAGGTATATGAGGCCACTAATAGGGGCAGAGAAGGACGAGTGGGAGGGGACTGAAGGGGGACGGGAGACAGAGAGCTTCAGGTAGGGCCTGGCTGGGCCTGGCCCCCTTTGCTGGAACAGAACAATAGGTTGTTCTGGGGTTTTGTTTGTATTTGAGGGAGAGAGGCTATAAGACGGCTCCTGCCAGCTAGGAGCAGCCTATCATGTGAGGGGACGGGTAGGCCCCTGGGTGTGGTTTTGGTCAGCATCCTGGGTAGGAAATCTTGCCTCTTAGAGGTGGGACAGCAACCTGGCCAGGGGCAGTAGAGGAGATGGGAAAAGGGGCTCAGAAGGAAGGGGGTGGTGCACATCTTGGTAGCTGGGTCCAGGTGGTCCTGTCCTGAGTGAGTGATCTGGGGGTGGATTCCTGCCCTAGGTCTTGTGCCCCTTCACCCCAGCCCTGTCCGGGACCCCATGGCCCTTCCCCTTTATGGAAGCAGCTGCTATTATAGTTTCTGTCTGGCTTGTACCAGGGTACTTGGCTTAGAAGATGGGAAGAGGATGGTCCCCACGGAGTTCTGACAGAAGGCTAGGAAGGTAGTGGTGAAGAGGGTAAGCACTCATCCTGGGCTCGTTCCTGGGCTCAGCCTGGCAGTGGGCATTCTATGCCCGGTTCAGTTGTCAGAACACACCGGTGTGGTCCTCATCATCTTGTCAGTCCTCGTTGTACAAGTGGCTCAGAGAAGTCAGAGTCGTACATCTAAGAAGTGAGTGGCGAAGCTCCAGGTGAAGTGTGTGAAAGCCTCGGACACATTTGTGAGTGAGGACTCCTTACTCTGCGCAGTGCTTGGGCTGGAGGGCAGCTGAGGTGTTCATTTTGAGTGGGGTAGTGGGTTGGCTGCTCTGGACAAAGCCAGGGAATCTGGCTCCCAGAGTGGGAAGGTGGTCCCCTGCAGGTCCCCCATTCCTCCCCAAGGACCAGGGGCCAGAGAGCATTCTCTGGGTCGTCCTCATCCTTCCAGTCACACGCAGCTCCTTACTGTCTGGTATGTGGGAATCTTCTGCCCCACGGCAGCCTGTGCCTTTGCCGAACACCTCCAGGAGAGCCATGTGGGGGATGGTCTGGACATTGCAGGGACCAGAGCTGAGCTCTTGAGATTCTCTGAGTGTGGACAAACGAGGTGCTCAGACACGGCCCTTGGTGGTGTGGGGACACAGGCAGGATAGCTCCTCTCGGTGACTCTTGGTAGATTGTCTTCTGGTAGATGGGCTGGGGGTGCGGGTTCTGGTGCTTCAAGGTGGTTGTCCTCTGACTGTGAACCAGAGCCCAGGGACCAGGCGTCAGCCCCGTGCTGGCCGAAGGGAGAGGGTTGTTGCCAAAGTCCCACATTCCAGGCATGTGTTGATGCTGATAAGGCAGCCTAGGGCTGGCCTAGCCACTTTGGGCAGGAGGGGACTTTGACTTCATGCCCCCAGCAGGCAGCATGCACATCTTGCTTCCTGGTAGCACCCCTCCCCCACCGACCCCCTCTGCTTCCAGGTGCAGGGCCCCCGCCGGGTCCTGGTCACACAGCCTGCAGAGGCAGTGCCGCTTTCAGCAGCGTTGCTGGCTCTTAGTAGCAGGCCTCTGGAGGCCTGTTGATGGATTCTGCCAGCCCCGCCTCTTAGAGTATTCGAGGATGCCATTGGAAATGGCACTTCCTTTTATTTGCTGAAATTTGTTACTCTTAGGTTTGGCAGTGGGCTCCTTGTCCAAGAGTTCAGCTTTTGGGGAAGTGTAGTTTTGTGGAAAGATGACTCCTGCTTCCTCCGTGGGCCAGTCTCTTAAGCTCTCCAGGCCTCATTCTCCTTGCCTGTAAACGAGTTGTTAGAAATATTTGAGGCAGTGCTTGTCAGCTATTCTCAAAGTTGTTTGCAGACCCTGAGGGTCCCCGATACCTTTTTCAGTATATTTAGAAGTTACAAGGTCAGATGCGGTGGCCCACGCCTGTAATCCCAGCACTTTAGGAGGCCAAGGCGGGTGGATCACCTGAGGTTGGGAGTTCCAGATCAGCCTGGCCAACATGGTGAAACCCCGCCTCTCCTAAAAATACAAAAATTAGCTGGGTGTGGTGGCGCACGCCTGTAGTCCCAGCTACTCAGGAGGCTGAGGCAGGAGAATGGCTTGAACCTGGGAGGCGGAGGTTGCAGTGAGCCAAGATTTTGCCACTGCACTCCAGCCTGGGTGACAGAGCGAGACTCCATCTAAAAAAAAAAAAAAAAAAAAAAATCACTGGCCTCTGCCCTGGGTGGACACTTGCACTGCCAGAGTTGTGTTCCCCACTGTTAGCCAGCACTGGGGGCTGAGACCCACCAGTTCTACACATGTCCAGGGGAGGCAGTACAGATGACTGAGTATTAAATCTAGACCTTTAATTACACATATTTTTACTTTTCTGTGTGATGAAATAGGAAGGATGCATGAGGCTTTTTTTTTTGAGATGGAGTCTCGCTGTTGCCTAGGCTGGAGTGCAGTGGCGCAATCTCAGTTCACTGCAACCTCCACCTCCTGGGTTCAAGTCATTCTCGTGCCTCAGCCTCCCGAGTAGCTGGGATTACAGGCACCCGCCACCACGCCTGGTTAATTTTTTTCTTTTTTTTTTTTTTTTTTGAGACGGAGTCTTGCC
This sequence comes from Homo sapiens, assembly GCF_000001405.40. Classification (NCBI taxonomy): domain Eukaryota; kingdom Metazoa; phylum Chordata; class Mammalia; order Primates; family Hominidae; genus Homo; species Homo sapiens. The sequence continues at coordinate 18,569,751 of NC_000022.11, read as the reverse complement.
CTGTCGCCCAGGCTGGAGTGCAGTGGTGCGATCTCGCTGACTGCAACCTCCGCCTCCTGGGTTCAAGCGATTCTCCTACCCCAGCCTCCCGAGTAGCTGGGATTACAGGCGCCTGCCACCACGCCTGGTTAATTTTTTCTTTTTTTTTTTTTTTGAGACGGAGTCTTTCCCTGTCGCCCAGGCTGGAGTGCAGTGGTGCGATCTCGCTCACTGCAACCTCCGCCTCCTGGGTTCAAGCGATTCTCCTGCCTCAGCCTCCCGAGTAGCTGGGATTACAGGCATGCGCCTCCATGCCCAGCTAATTTTTGCATTTTTAGTAGAGATGGGGTTTCACCATGTTGGTCAGGCTGGTCTCGAACTTCTGACCTCGTGATCCGCCCGCCTCAGCCTCCCGAAGTGCTGGGATTACAGGCATTAGCCACTGCGCCTGGTGTAATTTTTTCTAGTTTTAATAAAGTCTGGGTTTCGCCATGTTGGCCAGGCTGGTCTTGAACTCCTGACCTCAGGTGATCCACCCGCCCTGGCCTCCCGAAGTGCTGGGATTACAGGTATTAGCCACCATGCCCGGCATGAGGCTTTACAATTTTTTTTTTATTTTTAATTTTTTTTGACGATGTGGTCTCCCTCAGTTGCCTAGGCTGGAGTGCAGTGATGATGTAATCACGGCTCAGTGCAGCCTCACCTTCTGGGCTCAAATGATCCTCCTTCATAAGCCTCCCGAGTAGTTAGGACCACAGTCATGTGCCACCACACCCAGCTGTTTTTTTTTTTTTTTTCCAGAGATGGGATCTTCCTGGTCTTGAACTCCTAGGCTCAGGCAGTCCTCCTACCACGACCTCCTAAAGTGTTGGGATTACAGGTGTTGAGCCACTGTGCCCAGCCTACATAGCAACTTTTTTTTTTTTTTTGAGATGGAGTCTCTGTTGCCCAGGCTGGAGTACAGTGGCACGATCTTGGGTCACTGCAACCTCTGCTTCCCGGGTTCAAGCAATTCTATTGCCTCAGCCTCCCAAGTAGCTGAGATTATAGGCACGTGCCACCACACCCGGCTAATTTTTGTATTTTTAGTAGAGACTGGGTATCTCCATGTTGGTCAGGCTGGTCTCAAACTCCTGACCTTGTGATCGCCCACCTCAGCCTCCCAAAGTGCTGGGATTACAGATGTGAGCCACCGTACCTGGCCTACATAGCAACTTTTATTTATGTTTTTCCTTGAAGCGGAGTCTTGCTCTGTTGCTAGTCTGGAGTGCAGTTGCGCAATTCTCCTGCTTCAGCCTCCTGAGTAGCTGGGATTACAGGCGCTTGCCACCACACCTGGCTAATTTTTGTATTTTTAGTAGAGACGGGATTTCACCACGTTAGCGAGACTGGTCTTGAACTCCTGACCTCAAGTGATCCACCTGCCTCAGCCTCCCGAAGTGCTGGGATTGCAGGCGTGAGCCACCGCGCCTGGCCCATAGCAACTTTTAAGAAACTCATTTGTCGAGCTTTAGTGTAATATCAATGAAGAATAGACAGTTTTCTGAAAAAGTTATTAAAATACTCCTTCCTTCTTTCTGTGTAAGGCCAAATTTCTTTAAAGACTTTAATCAAAACCGCATATCCTAACAGACTGAATGCAGGAGATATGAGAATCCAGCTTCTTCTATTAGGCTAGACATTAAAGAGATTTATAAAAGTGTAAAGCAATGCTATCCTTCTTTTTTTCTTTTCTTTTCTTTTTTTTTTTTTTGAGACAGTCTCGCTCTGTCGCCAGGCTAGAGTGCAGTGGCGCGATCTCTGCTCACTGCAACCCCCACCTCCCGGGTTCAAGTGATTTGCCTGCCTCGGCCTTCTAGCTAGCTGGGACTACAGGTGCGCGCCACCACACCTAGCTAATTTTTGTATGTATATATATATTTTTTAGTAGAGATGGGGTTTCACCTGTTGGCCAGGATGGTGTGGATCTCTTGACCTCGTGATCCGCCCGCCTCGGCCTCCCAGAGTGCTGGGATTGCAAGTGTGAACTACCGTGCCCAGCCCTTTTTTTGTTTTGTTTTTCGGATAGAGTCTCACTCTTATCACCCAGGCTGGAGTGCAGTGGCACAATCTCTCCTTACTGCAACCTCCGTCTCCTGGGTTCAAGGGATTCTGCTGCCTCAGCCTCCTGAGTAGCTGGGATTACAGGCACCTGTCACCACGCCCAGCTAATTTTTGTATTTTTTTAAATGTTGTTGTTTTTTTTTTTTGAGAGGGAGTTTTGCTCTTGTCCAGGCTGGAGTGCAATGGCGTGATCTTGGCTCACTGCAACCTCTGCTTCCCCCAGGTTCAAGTGATTCTCCTGCCTCAGCCTCCCCAGTAGCTGGGATTACAGGCATGCACCAACACATTTGGCTAATTTTTGTATTTCACCCTGTTGGGCAGGCTGGTCTCAAACTCCTGACCTCAGGTGATCCACCCGCGTCGGCCTCCCAAAGTGCTAGGATTACAGGCATGAGCCACTGCGTCCAGCCTATTTTTTTTTTTAAGACAGAGTTTCGCTCTTGTTGCCCAGGCTGGAATGCAATGGCACAATCTTGGCTCACTGCAACCTCCACCCCACACCCTCCCCTGGGGTAAAGCCATTCTCCTGCTTCAGCCTCCCAAGTAGTTGGGATTACAGGCACCTGCCACCACGCTTGGCTAATTTTTTGTATTTTTAGTAGAGATGGGGTTTCACCATGTTGGCCAGGCTGGTCTCGAACTCCAGACCTCAAGTGATCCACCTACCTCAGCCTCCCAAAGTGCTGGGACTACAGGCGTGAGCCACTGTGCTCAGCCTTTAAAAAAAATTTTTTTGGCCGGGCACGGTGGCTCACGCCTGTAATCTCAGCACTTTGGGAGGCTGAGGCGGCAGATCACGAGGTCAGGAGATCGAGACCATCCTGGCTAACACGGTGAAACCCCGTCTCTACTAAAAATACAAAAAGAAATTAGCCAGGCGCGGTGGCGGGCGCTTGTAGTCCCAGATACTCGGGAGGCCGAGGCAGGAGAATGGCGTGAACCCGGGAGGCGGAGCTTGCAGTGAGCCGAGATCACGCCACTGCACTCCAGCCTGGGCCACAGAGCGAGACTCCGTCTCAGGAAAAAAAAAAAAAAAAACTGAATAAGAGGGCACTGTTGTAGTACATGGTAACATCAAATACAGCAACAGCCCAGATGCAGTGGCTCACACCTGTAATCCCAGCACTTTGGGAGGCTGAGGCTGCAGGATGGCTTGAAGCCAGGAGTTCGAGGTTGCAGTGAGCTATGATTGTACCACCGCACTTCAGCTTGGGTGACAGAGCAGGACCCTGTCTCAGAAAAAACCCCACAAAACAGTAATAGAGAAGCCACATAAGCAGATGCTCGTTAGGAGCCCTGACTATTTCAGAATGTAAACAACACAATTTTAGAACCAGTGGCAAGGAGGGTACTGGACATTTCCATCTTCCCCACGTGCCTCCTTATCTTTCACATGTTGTTTCACTCTGTCTCTTCTCAGCATTGGGTCTGACCAGCATTTGCTCACCTAATGAATGTTTATGAGTGCCTGCTGCATGCCTGCTGCTGTGGCTGCTTGGGACACAGGGTCTAACTTTGGGTACTGGTCTATGGGGTGGTGGGGGTAGGCAGGAGGGAAGCAGCTTGGCAGCTGGTGCTGACGTTGGAAGCGGGGGGACAACAGAGGCAGTTCTGGCTTCACAGAGGAGGGAGTCGTGAGGGGGCAGGCTCCTCCCAGAGTAGGGCACGGCCTGCAGGAGCTCTCAGGTGTGTCTGTGGAAGGGATGAGGTGGGCTTGATGCCCCTGTGGGAAGTGCTTTGCATGCCAGGCCTGAGCATGGACTTTATGCTAGGCATCAGGAATTTATTGAAAGCTTTATTTATTTTTTTAATTTTTTTTTTTTGTATTTTGAGATAGAGTTTCACTCTTGTTGCCCAGGCTGGAGTGCAATGGCGCGATCTTGGCTCACTGCAACTTCCTCCTCCCGGGTTCAAGTGATTCTCCTGCCTCAGCCTCCTGAGTAGCTGGGATTACAGGCATGCGCCACCATGCCCAGCTAATTTTGTATTTTTAATAGAGATGGGGTTTCTCCATGTTGGTCAGGCTGGTCTCAAACTCCAGACATCAGATGATCTGCCCGCCTGGGCCTCCCAAAGTGCTGGGATTAAAGGTGTGAGCCACCATGCCCGGCCCATTGAAAGCTTTAAGCAGGGGAGTGGCTTGATGAGATGGGTGTTGAGAAAGATAACTCAGGGTTATTGGACTCTGAATTGGAGGGTACAGGGACTAGGCGAGGGTTGGCTGGAGGGGTTGCAGGGGGGTGATTGTGTTCTAAACGCTGATATTTTCACTTAGAGTGGCTCTGATTCTGCCCTTCTTTCTCCTGTAGACCTTGGGAGGTTGCCTGGGATTTCTCCCTCCTGGACAACTTCTGTTGAGTGAAGCATACCTGCTACCCCAGGTGTGGAGGCCCCAGGTTCTTTTGCTTTGTATGATTAGGACAGGGTGATATTTTCTGGGTTATCTCTTGTGGGAACTGAGCCCTCCAAAGCCCTCATTTGTGCATTGTTGTCATAGCTGCCCAAGTGTGTGGCCTTGCTGAGTTTGACGGCTGTGGACCAGGTGATCTCTCGGGTGGTGAAAGGGAGGTGCTCTGTGAGTGCACCTCAGCTTTAGCCTCTTGGCTTCTCCCTGGATTGGGATTTCCAGGGAGGTCTCTTTCCTCTTTCTTTTTTCTCTTTCTTTTCTCTCTCTCTCTCTGTTTTTTGTTTGTTTGTTTGTTTGTTTGTTTTATAAATGAGACAGGGTCTTGCCTTGTTGCCCAGGCTGGTCTTGAACTCCTGGGCTCAAGCGATCCTCCTGCCTCAATCTCCCAAAGTGCTCAGATTAAAGGCATGAACCACCACACCCGACTTTCCTTTCTTTTGAGACTTCTGCACAGAGCAGGCTCAGCTTCCTTAGTATACTTAGCCATTGAACTCTAAGAAGTTATTTACAAAGGTGTAAATAGGCCGGGCGTGGTGGCTCACCCCTGTAATCCCAGCACTTTGGGAGGCCGAGGCAGGCGGATCACTTGAGGTCAGGAGTTTGAGACCAGCCTGGCCAAGATGGTGAAACCCTGTCTCTACCACAAAAATCAGCTGGGTGTGGTGATGGGTGCCTGTAATCCCCAGCTACTCGGGAGGCTGAGGCAGGACAATCGCTTGAACCCGGGCAGCAGAGGTCGCAGTGAGCCGAGATTGTGCCACTGCACTCCAGCCTGGGCGACAGAGGAATACTCAAAAAAAAAAAAAAACAAAGGTAAATTACACGTATATATGTGTGTGCACAAATCTTAAAGAATAGATAAGTAGTGGTAAACCCACTATTGGTTGAATCGTGGGTGTCCCACTAAGCGTGACACCGTTGTTCCCTCATGGCCACATAAGAAATAGCCTCCCAAGTTCCTGGGACACCCCATGCACTTCTCCCTGGCTTATTCCCACTTCCCTCTAGAAGCCAACAGTCTTCTGAATTGCGGGTCAGCCATTCGCTGGCTTTTGTCGGTTTCCCACCTTTGTCTGGATCCTGAAACTGCGAATGATTTTGGCTCAGTTCGCTGGGAGCCGGGTGTCCTGCACTCTTGGGACACCAGGAGCAGCAGTTCCTGCGTTCCCATTCTCCATTTCAGTGTCCAAGGTGGCGCCATCCACACATAATCACCTGTCCTGCTGGCAGTGAGCATTTGGGTGGGTTTCTGGGTTTTGTTTTTGCTGCTTTCTAAGTAGCTGACTTTTCACCCCCAAGCTATGCTTCTTGAGGCAGAGAAGTGCCAGTTTATTTTGTTTTCTGTCTCTAAATCCAGTTCCTTAATGCACCACTGAGACTCAGTTTAGAAGTACAGTGAAACTTTGTGAGCATTTTTCTCCCTGAGTTTGAATGGATCCCTCTCTCATTCTTTGAGTTCTTGGGCACTTGTCTCTTAGACACTTTCAAGTTACCTACTGGACAGGAGAGACCTCTTCTCTATAAAGTATCACACTTGGAGGCTTTTCAGGCACAGGACCATAGATTGTAATATTTTCCATAGCAGTTGCCCAATTTTATCTGTAAAAATTGCTTTTTAAGGCCTGGCACAGTGGCTCACACCTGTAATCCCAACATTTTGGAAGGCTGAGGCAGGAGGATCACTTGAGCCCAGGAGTTTGAGGCCAGTCTGGAAAACATAGTGAGACCTCATCTCTACAAAAAATTTTAAAAATTGGTTGGGCATCGTGGCATGCACCTTTAGTTCCAGCTACTCAAAAGGCTGAGACGGGAGGATCCCTTGAGCCCATAAATTAGAGCTATGATCGCGCCACTGCACTCCAGCCTGGGCCACAGAGCAAGACCCTGTCTCCAAACAATCACAAAACTTCCAATGGATGCCGAATGTATAACTTTTTCTTTTTTTTTTCTTTCTTGGAGTAAAATAACTTGATCCTTGATCTTTGGCTGTAGCTCCTGAGCCATTTGAGGCACTGGGGGGTTTGTGTGTTGATTACCTATGAAGGAGCAAGTGGGCTGTTTCCTTCTCCCAGCGGCTTCCTTTGACCCCAAATCCCTGAGAGTCTCGCCCATTTTCTTCTTGGCTTCCTCCCTTTGATATGCCCAGCTGGCTCCTGCCCTACCTGGCTGCCACCAGGACCTGCTGGAGGCGGTTGCTGGGAATTATTTGGTGTCCTGTTTGAACCTTGCTTGCCGTGCTCCCAGATTTCCTGTTTCTCCTGGGCTTGCCTTTCAGGATTTGCAGAACCCCTTCTCCTTTAGAAGTGTCAACTGGGGCTGGGTGTGGTGGCTCACGCCTATAATCCCAGCACTTTTGGGAGGCCGAGGCGGGCGGATCACCTGAGGTCGGGAGTTCCAGGCCAGCCTGACCAACATGGAGAAACCCCGTCTCTACTAAAAATACAAAATTAGCCAGGTATGGTGGTGCACACTTGGAATCCCAGCTACTCGGGAGGCTGAGGCAGGACAGTCGCTTGAACCCGGGAGGCGGAGGTTGCGGTGAGCCGAGATTGCACCATGGCACTCTAGCCTGGGCAACAAGAGGAAAACTCTGTCTCAAAAAAAAAAAAAAAAAAAGTCAATTGGACCTTAGGACAACTTAAAAACATTATCAGGTTTTTATCTTTTAGATAGCAGACATGAGTCTGCTCTTAATAAGGATTTACAGTAGTCTCTCTGTTTCCTGTGGGCTCCTGGCTGGCTTGTGTGAGCTCCCTCCTCTAGGATGGGCACTCCATCCTGGACATTGCCGCGTTGCCAGCTGTCCTGCCAATATTTTGCTTCCTGTGTTGTTGTTATTGGTTGGGGGTCCAGGAGAGGTTGCTGCCTGGACTGAGTCTACTTGCTGATCAGGATGAAGTTGATCTCTGCTTCCCTTCTGAAGGTTTCTGTGCACGTATTGAATTCAAGGACAGCCTACGTAAGAAGTGTGCACAGCTCCAAGAGTTCTTCACAAATGATTATGCCCTTGTAACTAGCATCCAGAGTGCGAAACACAACCCTGGAAGCCCCTCACGTATCCTGAAGCTTGTAGTCACTCTCAACCCCCACCCATAAGATTAGTGCTGCCTGCTTTTGAATGTATGCAAATGGAACTGTAATAGTCTTTTTGGCTCTGGCATCTTTGCTCAAAAGTATATTTGAGAGATTCATCTGCGTTGTTTGTAAGTCAAACCATGTGAAATTATCAGCAGCCAGCTGTTTTTTTACCCCTAAAAGGTAAATTCATACAGTTCAACCTAAACGTTCTGTCCTGTTCACTGCTGGCTCATAGTCTTTTATACCTGCAGCTGTCCCTTCTCAGGGTGGGCATAGTTGTTTTCCATTGTTGGGCCTTCATGAGTGTGCCTGCCTGTTTGGTGTGCATACGTGTGCATTCTTGTTGGCGTATACCTTGGGTGAGTTTTTGGGCCCACAGCTAGCTAGCTAGCTAGCTTGTTTGCTTTATTTATTTAGAGACGAAGTTGGCTCTTGTCGCCCAGGCTGGAGTGCAGTGGCGCAGTCTCAGCTCACTGCAAGCTCTGCCTCCTGGGTTCAAGTGATTCTCCTGCGTCAGCCTCCCAAATAGCTGGGATTACAGGAGCCTGCCACCACGCCCAACTAATTTTTGTATTTTTAGTAGAGACGGGGTTTCACCATGTTTGCCAGGCTGGTCTCAAACTCCTGACCTCAGGCGATCCACCCACCTTGGCCTCACAAAGTGCTGAGATCACAGGCGTGAGCCACCACCCACGGCCTTGGGCCCACAGTTTTAGATTGTGCCATCCAAGGGTTTTCTAAACCATGTGAGTTTTCTGGCCAGGTGCGGTGGCTTATGCCTGTAATCTCAGTACTTTGGGAGGCTGAGATGGGCAGATCACTTGAGGCCAGGAGTTGGAGACCAGCCTGGCCAACATGGTGAAACCCCATCTCTACGAAAAATACAAAAATTATCTGCGGGTGGTGGCGCACTGCACTTCTGTAATCCCAGCTACTCGGGAGGCTGAGGCAGGAGAATTGCTTGAACCTGGGAGGCGAAGGTTGCAGTGAGCCATCTCGCCACTGCACTCCAGCTTGGGTGACAGAGCAAGACTCTCTCTCAAAAAAATAAAAAATTATAAAGTATGTGAGACTTCTGGTTGCCTTACTGCCTGGCCAACATTTGGTGTTACCTTTTTCCTGATGGGCTTTGACGTTCTTATTGTTTCTGGAACAGTCCTGGTCTTGTTTAAAAACATCCCCATTTTCCTTTCATCCCTGGGAGATACTCTTTTAGTCTTTGTTTGGCTAGTCAAAATCCCGTCTTTAGTATCTGTTGTTGAATTTTTGTGTTTTTGTTTTTTCTGATTCCCTTTCAGCATGTCATCTCAGTCTTGTCCCAGCCCGGGGGTCAGGCGGTGTTGCGTACAGACGGTGCAGTGGCTCCTTCATGCTGGTTGCCTCAGAGCCTTTGCCAGGCCTGGAGAACTGCATAGGTGCAGGACTGCCAGTAGTTCTTCCTGCTCTTTGATCATTGAAATGTTTTCTTTTGTGAAGTAATGATGGTAGAAGATGATAGGGTTTCTGTTTGTTTCTAATTCTAGTCTTTACTTGGCATTAAGAAATTGTTAGCTGCTAGGGTTGATTTTGAAATTGTGAAGTTGGAGAGTCCCTCCTGGAGCTGTGGGTTGGATGGCTGCAGCTCTGTGACTCAGCTGTGCTGGGTGCCTCCCTTTGGGGCTCAGTTACCTCCTTTTAAGGTGTCCCTAGGGTGAGAGAGATGATCACGATAGTCCCTTCCACCTGGGCGGCCCAGGCTTTCCTCGCCCATTTAGTGCCTTTCATGTAGAATTTCCACCTGTTGTCTGCTGTGCTGCCACTGCTTGTCCTCCCTCCCTGCCACACAGAGCTGTGTTCTCTGCCTGCCACTCACGCCTACTTCTCTGATCAGGGTTTGTGGAACCCTCCAGCGTGGTCACCATTCTGGTACCTGTGGTAACACGCTCAGCCTTGGTGTGGCACATTCTAGGTCTACCGTTTGTATTCACCAGCCTGTGAGCTTGTGTACATGGGACATGTATCTTCGTTTTGGGGGCTTTCTCCTTCCACTTGATGCCCATCCCTTGAGCGTTTACTACTTGTGGAGCGCTTGGCTTTCAGGCCGTAGAGAGCTTTCCAATCAGTGGTGTCCAGGTAAAAACAAAAGAAGGAAAAAAAGCTTCTAACCTAGCCCTTCTCAGACTTGACTGTGTGTTTGAGCCCCCAGGGTTCTGGTGGTTAGGGCTGGATGGAGTCTGAGCCTCTGCGTGTCTAACAAGATCCCTGGTGGTGCTGCTGCTGTTTCTTGGGTCATGGCCAGTGAGCAAGAAGAGCAGGGAAGTGGGCTGGAGAGGACTGCAGAAACCAGCACAGGGCCTGTTTTGCCTCCTGACATGTGTGGATGCCAGATTCCTGCTTTTTCCTCACCTACTAGGAACAGCAGCTGCACATCCTCTGGTGGTCTTGCGTGGGCTCCTGCTCTGTGGCTGTCAGCGAGCCTTTTACCCCATGCTCAGGCCCCTCTTAGGGGGCAGGGTAGTGTTGGGATGGAGTTTGGAGGTGAGCACAGCATTCGTAGTCACTATCACAACCTTAAATTGTTATTCTGCTTCTTTTTTTTGAGACAGAGTCTCACTCTGTCACCCAGGCTGGAGTGCAGTGGCGCGATCTCGGCTCACTGCAAGCTCCGCCTCCCAGGGTCAAGCAATTCTGCCTCAGCCTCCGGAGTAGCGGAACTACAGGCGCGTGCCACCACACCCAGCTAATTTTTTGTATTTTTAGTAGAGATGGGGTTTCACAGTGTTAGCCAGGATGGTCTTGATCTCCTGACCTCATGATCCACCCATGTCAGCCTCCCGGAGTGCTGGGATTACAGACCGCACCTGGCCGTTATTCTGCTTGTTAAAGCAATGTTCCCCTGCCTGTCTCCAATATCCTGTCTCAGAACTGTCAGCCAGACTGTGCCAGGCCTGGGGCCCTCCTTGGTGCCAGCACTAGCAGGGGAAATCAGCTGCAGGTCTCCAAGGTCTTCCTGGCCTCATTCCTTGCTGGCTCCAAACCCGGAAGTGATGAGGAGAGGGAGGGGACTGAGGCTGTACCTTCTGGGGGAAGCACAGTTTGGAGGCACTTTCGGTCCAGCTCTCCTCTCAGCAGCCCATTCCAGCCTTTTCCTTGTGCTGGGGTGTTAGCCCGGGCTTCCTCACCTCAGAAGGGACAGTACCCATGGGCGGGTGGCTCGGACCATGCAGGGCTTGGCCCTGCTGTGGGCAGTACGAGGTCATCAGTAGGTCCCATGGGCATTTCAGGATGGGCTTGGGAAAGTCACTGGGCTGGGGTGGATGCTACCTCCCTCACTTTAGGCCACAGGGCTGGCCTGAGGAGCAGAGGAGGAGGAGGCCAGCCTCAGGTCCCAATCGCTGCATCACCAATGTGTTGAGTGGAACCCGAGTGTTTATTTTGTAGAAGCTGCGTTGGAGAGAGCTGGGCTCCTGGCATTTGTGGAGCCTGTTGCTTTCCAGGAGGATGGTCTGGGAGGAGAGCCAGGAGCTGCTGGCCGGCATCCAGGTCTGGGCTGGATTACATGGCTGGGCTTGCCCAGAGCAGTGAGCCCCACCCACCACCAGCCCATTCCTGAAGGGACAGGGAAGGAGGTCATGGAGGGTGGGGGTGTTCCCAGAGGAGCAGCAAGCACAACCTGGGCCTCCAAAGCAGGCTGCATGGGGGCTCCACCTTGTCACTTCTGGTGGAGGAGCTGGGCAGACCCCATGCCCTCACAGTGAGTTTGGGAGAATACACCCAGGTGGGGCCCTGCTGTGGATAGGCAGGTGGTGCTGGGGGGTGGGGGAGTGAGGGTGGAGGTGCAGACTGGAGTCCCTGCTCCTGGCACACCAGTGCATGGAGGGCGGTGCCTCCTCTAGCTCCCCCAAGCAGCTTGGCAGTTGGAAGCCATGTGTGAGTGGCATCCCTGGCCCTGCCTGCGTTGGGCGGGGGGGTCATCAGACTACAACACTGGAGTCAGGCTTTAGGTCCTCACTCTGCTACCTACATGCTCTTGTGACCCTGGGCAAGTTGCTTAACCCCCAAGAACCTTTAATTTCTTATCTGAAACTGCAGAGATAACGCCCCGCTCACTGGGCCTGTGGGAAGATTGAGGAGATCAGACCTGCCCACATGTAGGCTGCCATCTCATACAGGGCTGTGGCGGTGGGCGAGGTGCAGCCTTCGCCCCTTGGAGCTATCTCTTGTCTACCAAGGCTTCCTCAGGGAGGACTCCAGGCCATGGGGATAGGATGAACAAAGTCCTGGGCTTGTGACTGTGCAGGGCTGGTTGGTGTGTCCAGGGGCTGGGCCTTGGGGCACTTCTGGATACTGGCTGCCTCCTGCCTGGCTGCCTTGTGCCTTCCAGGCAGTCTCTCCCATGGCTTAGGGGCTCCTGGGAAGAGGCTGAGCTCACACAGGGCCACCCGTTGCAGCTGCATCTGTCCCGGCCACACCTGAAGTATGAGGTGACTATAGTTGGGGGTTGGTCTGGAACCAGGGCCGATGCTGACCTTAGACTGAAGTTTGGGAGCAGTGGCAGCAAGTCTGGGGCTCTCTCTGACCCTGGTCAGATGTACTTAGACCTCTGGGTTGTGGAAGTTGCCTGGTGGCCCTGCCCTGCCTAGCATGGCTTCTCAGCCTGGCATGCTTGTCCCTCCCACCTGACAGTGGAGCTCGGGCGGGCCGTGGGCGGCCCTGCTCACTCTCAGCTGTCTTGGCGTTAGCTGGAGGGTTCTCATTTCACTGTTACTTTTGTTTAGGCTGGGAGGTGGTTAAGGTGCTGCTCCTTGGGAGTGGGCTGGGGGGAGCTTCTCCTCAGTCCTCCAGCATAGCTCCAGGCCTCCTGCAGGAAGCCCCTTTCTTGGTAGTAAAGGATAGCTTCCAGGGAGGAAGGTGGATGAGAAGGATCCTAGGAGGGCTAGGCGGGATGGCCTGCTTGGGGTGGCGCCCTTTCCTGGTCTTCACCCTTCTCCCCAGGCCTCCCTCCTGGCTGGGCGTGAGCCAGAAGTTTCAGTCTGAAGGCAGGGTTATCATGTGGCTGAGATGAGTTTGACCCTGAGTTTGACCCCCGCCTGTGGGCCTGGATATGGGCGTGAGATGTGTTCCTGTCTCCCAGAGTCATGGCCTCCAGAAGGAGCCATGTGGAGGCCCAGCACCTGGAGCAGTTCTGAATGCCTGGCTTCTTGGAGGCCAAGGTTCTAGGCAAGGTGGGTATCCAGGCTGGGTTGGGGCAGTGCCTCTCAGAATTGGGGCTGGAGTTTTCTGCTTTCTGCCTCAGCAGGGATCACTTTGATCTGAAAACCTCCTCTCTCCTGGCCTTTGAAAGATGCTGACTAGAGCACACTCTCCTGCCCTTTGCTGGGTGCTTAGAAGAAAGGCCTTGAGGTAACCCTGTTCCAGCCTCCCCACAGGCCCCTGCAGCCATGTGGACTGACCAGAGGCTCCACACACGGGCAGGTGTGGCCTGACCTCGCTCGCGTAGGATCATGGGCTAGTGGGTCCCCCAATGGGGGGCTGCTTCGAGTGTCAGGAGGCAGCGAGGGGTGCACAGTGCCCTGGCCTCTGCCATCCCCGTTGGTTATTTGGCTGGTCTGTGTTTGGTGAGCGAGTAGAGGGATCCAGAGTGCAGGGTGGTCTTGGCCTGGGGCTTTTGACTGCCCTCTGGAGATGCACTGAGGGCCACCCAGCTGGAGAGCAGCCGGGAGGGATAGGAACCTGTTCCCACCGTGGCGTCTTTGCCCTTCCAATCTGCTTCACCGTCGCCCTTGATCTCTGTGCCAGTTGGAAAATTGAGGCAGAACCAATACCCCTGGGTGATCTGGAAATCATCAGTGGGAAAGGTTGCCTTTGCCCAAGGCTAAAGATGACATGTCCCTGCACACTTTCAGCCCCAGGTTTTCCTACCTTGTGGGGAGGTGAGAGGTCAGGGTGAGTGCTGGGTTTGAGGCTCAGCTGTGCTGTGTGAAGATTGAGAGGAGCCCACCTGATCACATGGACAGAACGCACAGGCTCCTGGGTGGCCCTGCGGCTCCAGTGACATAGCACATGGTCGGGCATACAACAGTGCCCAGGAAAGGTTAGCTGGTGGTGTTTCCAGGGTATCGTGCTGAGCTTCTGAGATGAGAATGTCCTGTGAAAGCCTCTGTCTGGAGGTTTCATTGGAAGTAAAGTTTACATACAATTAAGGGCCTAAAATTGTATTTTCATTTACCTTAACCCAGATTCCCAGCAAGCTAGAGAGCTGCCCTCACCCCAAAGAGTTCCTCATGCCCCGTCCTGGATAGGCCTGTCAGGGCCAGGCAGTGGGCGCTTGTCCCTCGCCCCATCCTGGACAGTCCTCACCTGTCGCTCACAGCCTGTTCTGCTCTGGTTTTTACCCTCAGTCCGTTTTGCCTATTCTAGAACTTGATGTAAATGGAGTCATGCAGTCTGTACTCTCGCAAAAGTCTTCTTCCACTCAGTGCCACGACTGTGAGGTTCATCCATGTCTCTGCATCATTTCTGCCCTTTGTATTTTTAGGGTTTTAAAAGTAATACTTTTGGCTGGGCACGGTGGCTCACACCTGTAATCCCAGCACTTTGGGAGGCTGAGGCAGGCGGATCACAAGGTCAGGAGGTCGAGACCATCCTGGCTAACACGGTGAAACCCCGTCTCTACTAAAAATACAAAAAATTAGCCGGGCGTGGTGGCAGGCGGCTGTAGTCCCAGCTACTCGGGAGACTGAGGCAGGAGAATGGCATGAACCTGGGAGGCAGAGTTTGCAGTGAGCCCAGATCGCCATGGCACTCCAGCCTGGGGGACAGAATGAGATTCCATCAAAAAAAAAAAAAAAGGTAATACTTTTTAAAATGTTGAGTATTACAGAAATGAACATAATATACAGATACTATGGTTTTTCTGTAATCCCGCTCCCCAGAGATAATCTTACTTAGCAGTTGGGTATGTGTGTCCCCAAGGTTTTTCTTGCCACAGAATGGACTTGCTGGGCCGGGTAGGCTCTGACTGGGCCTTGCAGAGCAGCTGCCTTACTGTAAGTTCTTTGAGGGCGAACAGAGCGGGGGTGGGGCTGCTGTGGCTGGCCCAGTTCTACAGAGCTTGGGCATGTGCCACCAGTGGCTTGAGAGGCTGGAGTATCTGAGTGCTGTTCCAGCCCGCTAGCACCTGCCTGGGCCCTGGGCCTGCCCTCAGTGTCTGGGGACATGGCTTTCTGGCTTTTTTGTGGCGGGGACTGGGAGGGGAAGGAAAGGAGAGCAGTTGGCATGTTGGCTGTTCCGTAAACAGGGCCGTGTGTCTGCTCTAACAGATGGCCTGGGAAGGTAACCCCGAGGCTTTGTGTTCCTTCCTGCAGACCTTCAGGATTCCGCAGAGAGAGCTGGCCCTCCCTCCAGCTGCTGGGGCTCTTGTCCTTCCCAGCTGGGGCCAGTCCACCTACAGGGGGAATCCTGGAGCTGAGGGATCCTAACTTGGGAGATAGTTTCTGTGCTACCCTTCTTGCCTCTCCCCTGGACCCCTGAAGGCTCTGTCCTAGGGAGGGGATGGGTCACAGCCTTAGGCGAATGCCCAGCTGGCCCCGATAGCCCAGGCCTGCTGCCCTACTGCCTCAGATCCTGGGCGTCCTGGGAGCCAGCGTTTCTGGATGGGCAGTAGGCCAGGGCTGGGCGTGCTAGCCTGGGGGCTGATAGGCGTGCTGCCCGGGCCTGCTGCCAGGGGCTGCTGGGTGCTAGGTGGCATTCTCATCGCAGCCTGCAGTCAGCTGCTTCCAGGGCTGAGCACCAGCATCCGGGCCAGCACCCAGAGCCGTGTTTCTAGTTACCTGGCACTCCCCAGGCGGAGCCCTCCAGGATAGGCACTTGCTGTTTCATGTCCAGCGGTGAGCGGGTAGGGCAGAGCTCTGTGGCTGAGAAGGAAGGAGCAGTGCTTAGTAGGCGTTTCGCAGCAGGATGGCGTGTGCCACCCCCTGCCCCGCCATGGGGTGAGGCTGCATTGCTGCTCGCAGACACAGTGGCGGCCTAGATGTGGCCCAGACTTGGCCCAGCTGGTGTGGATGGCACGCATGGTGGCATTGTGCTTGCTGTGAACTTTCTGCAGGTGGCTCTGACACCCCCTAACTCAAGTGGAGGGTTCAGGGAGGAGCCCTGCCCTGTTCTACATCACAGCTGACCCAGCCTGGGGCCATCCTTCCTTGGTGGGGAGACCTAGTGCTAGCCTTGGGCTTGTAAAGTGCCCGACAGGGCCAGGCAGTGGGCACTGACGGAGGGTGTTCCCACCCCCATGGCACTCAGGTGCCCCCCAGTCCTATTCTGCCACCCACTCCCTGCGCGGCATCCAGTAGCTGGCCTGGCCTCTGGCAAGGTCAGGTGACCCCTGGCTGCAGAGTTTGGCATGCGCTCTACCCATGGTTGACTGGGTCCTGAGGGGCAGTGGTTGGGGAGCAGATGAAGTGGCACAGGGCTGGATGGTGGTATCTGATTGCCTCCAGTGTGCCACCGAGACCCTCTACCCAGTTTTTCGACTGCTCCCGCCAGTGTTTCAGTGGCCCCTGCCCTACTGGCCTCATCCCAGCATTAGCCCACTGGGCCCAACCCTTGCTAACTGTGGACGCCCTTGGGCTTCCTACCAACAGAGCTGGTTCTGCTGCCCTCTGGGCCTTTGGTGGGGTCCTGGACCAGCCATGCACCCCCTCCCCTCACACCCCCCACCCAGAGGGGAGCTGCACTAGGGGCTGGAGAGACAGCTGGCCAGCTGCAGCCTAGGCCTCCCAGCTCTGGGCCGGCACCCCGGGTCTGGTCACATTCCTGAGGGACCTGCTGAGCCTCCCTGGCCCTGGGGGTGGAGTGGGGGAAGGGGAAACGGGGACGGGCCGCTGCACGCCCCTTCCCCGACCCCGGCTCTATTCCGTGGGGGCCCAGGCTGGCAGGTGTGGGGTGCAAGGACCCACCACCTCAGGATCCCCCCTCCTGCAGGACCCAGAGCTCTGGGGGTGGGAGGGAACCCCTCGTTTCCTGGCGGCAGCTGCCCAAGGCTTTGGTGGGCCGGTATTGAAAGCCCAGGCCTGCAGCTTGGGTGAGCCCTTAGGCAGTGAAACCTCTGGAGAGGGAAGGCCATGTGGTCAGGCCAGGCGGGCTAGGGGGCTGGGCCCTCTGGGCAGGGAGGCGGTGAGAGCAGATCAGGAAGGGAAGGAACGGGGGAGCCAAAAGCGGTTGAGACTGGTTCTTATAAATAGCCCTTGCACAAGTGGCTCCAATTTTGACCTTTTGTTATGTAAATGTGGCCAGCTTGGGAAGGGCCCTGCCCAGGCCTCCTGCTACCACACCCGCAGGCCAAGAATTGTGTGTCTGCCACCAGCGCCCCCTGGCCTAGGTGGCCCCTGGGTGTCCTTAATGTCCTGTGTTAGAGGGGCAGGTATTGCACCCACCGAACTCCCTAGACCTGTTCGCTGGTCCTTACTCTTCCTGGCTGTCAGATCCAACTACCAGGCTCTGTGGTCACAGTCTCCTGCTGGGCTGCCCCTGGTGCCCCAGCCAGAGACCCCCAGGTGCGTCCCTTCATCGCCCTTCCCTCCCTTCTTCGCTGATGGCTGTCTGGGTGACTGTGTTCGTCTTCTCTTCCCCAGGTGACCAGGCATTGATGCACCCCCAGGAAGGCCACGGGCTCAGGAGGCCCCCCCGCCCCGCTGGCTGCTGCTCACATGGTGTCTGGGCCCTTGGCACTCTGGTGAGGCGCAGGGGAGGGGGGACCGCCACTGGCCCCTTTCCCCGGAGTTTCTGGGTGGCACACAGCCCCACAGCTCGGCCTCTATCTGTCTGACCCGTGGTCCTTTGTGTGCACACAGCACTGGGCAGTGTGGAGGGAGCCTGGAGGCCACTGCCCTCTTCCAGTCCCCTTGCCAGTCTCGGGGTACCAGGTGTCTGGGTGCTGGCAGAGCCGGCACTGATGTTTTCTGGGGTCACCAGAAAGCCCTGGTTTCACCACAAATTGTGACTGTCAGGACACAGTGCTGCTATGGTCAGGATTCCTTTCCATATGCTGCTTCAGCCTCAGACCTCGGTGGGCCTTAAGAGTAGGGGCTGCTCAGCCAGGCGCAGTGGCTCACGCCTGTAATCCCAGCACTTTGGGAGGCAGAGGCGGGTGGGTCACCTGAGGTCGGGAGATCGAGACCAGCCTGACCAATATGGAGAAACCCTGTCTCTACTAAATATACAAAATTAGCCGGGTGTGGTGGCATGTGCCTGTAATCCCAGCTACTTAGGAGGCTGAGGCAGGAGAATCGCTTGAACCCAGGAGGCGGAGGTTGCGGTGAGCCAAGATCGCACCATTGCACTCCAGCCTGGGCAGCAAGAGCGAAACTCCGTCTCAAAAAAAAAAGAAAAAGAGTAGGGGCTGTAGCCGTTCCCATTTCACAGGGCACTGGGGGTGCTCCTGACCACGTGTCAGCCCTCACATTGTACCTGGGGCTCTGGAGCCCAGATCTGTCTCTCTCCTCTCCACTTCCTTAGTCCAGGTGCCCTTGAACCTCTGGCCTCTCTGTCTGGTCCTCAGATAGGAGTGGGTCCTCAGATAGGAGTGGGTTGGTTGACCCCTGGGGGCAGGGCAGTTGGAGTACAGATATCACTAGCAGGTCCCAGATGGTAGGAGGACAGATCAGCTCAGGGAAAGCTGCTCACAGCCTCCTTCAGAGTTCTGGGTCTTGAAAGCAGCTGTTTTGGGAGCCTAACTGCTTTTCCCAGGGACTTAAGGCCTTTGTAATTTTTGTAGCCCTTTCATCCTCCAGAATAAAGGGACCTTCTTGAGCTCAGGGCCTTCTCAGTACTGGCATGCCCCAGGGCTCCTCCTCCCTGCCTGGCTACTCTGGCCAGCTCCACTGCTTACCCAGCCCAGTCACTCCTAGTCCAGGTGGATCCCTTCAGTGGCTTGGCCCACGGCCTGCATGGTGAACTGATTAGCAGCCCCAACTAATGGGTCCGACCTCAGCTCCAGACACCGCTGCACTGGTCGCCCATCCGCCATCACTGTTGATGCCAGGGTGGTTCTTCCCTTCACTGTTGATGCCAGTGGGGCCCCTCCCTTTACTGTAGATGCCAGTGTGGCCCCTCCCTTTACTGTAGATGTGAGCGAGGTCCCTCCCGTCACTGTAGATGCCAGCTAGGTCCCTCCCTTTACTGTAGATGCCAGCGTGACCCTTCCCTTCACTATAGATGCCAGCGAGGTCCCTCCATTCACTGTAGATGCCAGCGAGGTCCCTCCCTTCACTGTAGATGCCAGCGAGGTCCTTCTCTCTGCTCAGACATCTTTGACTCCCTCTTATGCACATCCCACTGATGACTCTCAGCACATCCCATCACCTTCACCTTTGAGGTTTATCCAGGATCTGACAAGTCCCAGCATCCCAGCTGCTGCCCCCTGGCCTGGCCTCCTGCTCCCCAACCCCAGGCATCTTCCCCTTCTCCACATGCGGTTGGCGCAAGCCAGGGGGGAATCAGAGCCCCCCTACAGACTCGAAGGTGGGCTTGTTTCTGTGACCTGCAAGCCCCCTTCCCACCTGACTTCCATCCTCTCTCTTCCCCTCGCTTGCTGTGCTGTGGCCATGCTGGGGTCCTGCTTGCACTTCCCACGGATGATTCTCAGCACATCCCATCAGTTTCACTTTTGAAGCTGCCCTCCTGGGCTGCTCCCACCATAGGCCGCGTCATGCATTCCCTCTTCTCAGATGGCCGTGCCTTGCGCCTCACTCCTGCGTCTCCTCCAGGGCTCATCTCAGATGTCCCCTCCTTGCCAGGGCTCTCCCTGGCCACCTGGCCACACGCTCACTCGCACTGCTGTTTCTTAGTGTTTCTCAGTGTGTGTAGCTTATTTCTTGTTGTCTGTGGTCCCCACCATAGACTGTGTGGTCATGTTTGTCTTCATTCAGAGCACCATGCCCAGAGTCCACGAGGCCCTGGCACAGAGGCAGCCACCAGGATGTGGTTGTTTAACAAATAGATGGGAGTGTGTCTCTTCGATGGCTTCTTGTCCGTGGCAGTTCTGGGGTCCCCCCCACCGCCATTTTTTTGCTCCCTTGTCTGCTTCCATAAGACTAATCGGTCTGCAGGAAACACAAAGCAGGCTGTAGTGCCTCGTCCCCCAGGAGTCCTCACCCCATGGGCAGCTTAGAGGGAAGCAGCAGACAGAGCCCCGCCCCAGGCTCCTGTCGGCTCCTGGCCATCCTGGGCTTATGTGGCCTTTGTCTCCACCCTCACAGCCTCCAGATGGCTTCTGTGCCTCCCAGCAGGAAGGAAGACAAGGACAGAGTGCAAAGGGCAGAGGCCAGCTGCCTTGACCTTATGAAGCTCACCCTGGCATGTGTTCCCAGGGCCTTGCCCAGTTCACTCTCCCTGGCTCATTAGAGTGGCCGGGGAGAACAGTGGCCGCCTCAGCCAGCAGGGACCCTGGCTGAGAGCCCTGTGACTGGCCACGTGGCCACCCTGATCCACCTCATGAGGAAGAAGGGAGGGGATGGGTACTGGGGAGGGAGCCGCGGTGTGTGTTCTACTCACTAGGCCTCGTTGCCACCTCTGCACAGGCGCTTGGAGCCCTTGTAGAAGCTGGTGCTGCTGGGACAACAGAGGGATAGAATCCTCTTTGGCCAGATGCCAAATGCTGTTTGTTGGTCTCCTTGTAAAAACACCCAGAAATCATGGGGGCTTTCCATGTGTGAGCTGCACCTCTTACTCTCTGCAGCACCCAGGTGTCTCCCGGGCACCATGCTGCTCCCTCTGGGCACCCCTCATGCCCCCCCACGGAATGGGGACCTGGCTGAGCATGACTGGGCCATGGGAGCAGCCTGACCCTGGGCTCCCAGGCCTGGCCATGGTGGCTGCAGGCTCGCCTCGGCTCCATGGGCCTTCCTAATCTGGTTAGCGGGATGAAGGTATCGGGTAGGGTCTGTGTGGGGTGGAGAGGAGGAGCCAGGCCCTGGATCCAGAACCCTCTTCTGCCCTTGCCAGCTCAGCAGCCCACAGAGGGGTCTTCCCGCTCACAGCCACAGAGGGTTATCAGGGTTATAGAGAAGAGTCACCTACCCAGTGCCTGTCAGGGCATCAGGTACATCCCGGGTGCTGCCACCTCACACCTGCAATGTCCACACGGTGAACCGGGTTGAACAGAATGCAGCCTCGAGAGGCTGGAGAAAATACACCAAGCACTGACACAGATGACCCTGGGATGTGGGACTATAGGCGATCTTCATTTTTTTCTTCATACTTTTCTTGGTTTCTAAATCTTATTCAGTGAGCACGTGTTCCTTTTTTTAATTAGAGAAAACTTGACAGTAGCCCCTTTTTGTGTTTCACAGAGGAGCTAACATTCCTTCTGTACCTGTAGTTCATGCGGGAGATGGCAGGGGCTGGCACATGACAGTGGAGCAGAAATTTGGCCTGTTTTCTGCTGAGATAAAGGAAGCAGACCCCCTGGCTGCCTCGGAAGCAAGTCAACCCAAACCCTGTCCCCCCGAAGTGACCCCCCACTACATCTGGATCGACGTACGTGCCTGTTCCCCGACCAAGGCTGTGGGGTGCTCCACCTGGGGGGCCAGGACTGTTCCTGGGGTGGGGGTAGCCGAGCCCAAGGCCTTCGGCAAGCTCGGCCAGTCAGCCCAGAACCCCTCCTCAGCTGTCTCTGCCGGCCCCAGGGTTAGCCCGGCTCAGCCCCACCACCACAGCGTCTTCCTCTTTTCGCTCAGTTCCTGGTGCAGCGGTTTGAGATCGCCAAGTACTGCAGCTCTGACCAAGTGGAGATCTTCTCCAGCCTGCTGCAGCGCTCCATGTCCCTGAACATCGGTGGGGCCAAGGGGAGCATGAACCGGCATGTGGCGGCCATCGGGCCCCGCTTCAAGTGAGGGCCCTCTTCCTGGGGAGCACAGGGCCCCTGGTGTGTACAGTGTGTCATGGGGCGTCTGTGTATCACGGTACTTCTGTAGACGGGGAACACATTTCAGTGAGCTGCTCCTGGAAGGGCAGGGAAGAGAGTCCATAAGGTGAACTTGGCCCCAGGCCAGGCTCCTGCTCTGACCGGGTCCGGGGCTCCCTCACAGGCTGCTGACCCTGGGGCTGTCCCTCCTGCATGCCGATGTGGTTCCAAATGCAACCATCCGCAATGTGCTTCGCGAGAAGATCTACTCCACTGCCTTTGACTACTTCAGGTACTCCCCCAAGATGTGCTGTGCGGCATCCAGGGACGGCCCAGCCCCTCCAAGTGCTCCATCGCCCCAGACCCCCAGGAAGTCACTCACAGGAATACACAGTTGCCCAGTTGTGCTCACCAACCTCCTCCTTCAGTATCCCTGGCCCTGTGGATTTAAATACCCTTCAGCCCTGTGCATGTGTCCCGTGTACTTAGAGCTAGCCTCCCAGCGAGATGTAGGCAAATTTTCCCTCAGTTCAACTGATTTAGGAGATTAAGTGCGTCCATTTAATTTCCCTGTTAATGTGAAGGCTTATTGCACGAAGAATTGCAAACACCCACTGCCTGGGGCTCTGCACCCATAGGCTGTGCTGTTGTGTGAGTGCAGCTTCCTTGCCCTGATCTGCCACAAGTGCAGCTTCAGTGGAAAGCTGTAGGGGCTGCTGTGGGCAGTGAGGGAGGAGGGCATAAGAGGGCTCCCGAGCCACCACACCTTCCCATGGGAATGGGCCAGATCATCCTTGCTAATGACTGGCTTTGGGCTGACCTTTTGTCATTAAGAAATTGTCTGCATCACCTTCTCACTGCTTTGTGTGACTGGCCTCTAGTCCCTGACTCCAGACACTCAGCCGTTGTCCTCTTATGGTTGTTTGAAGCTGTCCCCCAAAGTTTCCTACTCAAGGAGAGAAGCGGCTGCGTGAAGACATAAGCATCATGATTAAATTTTGGACCGCCATGTTCTCAGATAAGAAGTACCTGACCGCCAGCCAGCTTGTTCCCCCAGGTAACCCTCAACAGTGCAGCTGCTCATGGTGGAGGCAGGCAGGACAGGGGTGCAACGTGGGCAGCCCTGAGGGTGCCAGAGGTAGGGACGGAAAAGCAGTTAGACCCCCCTGAGCCCTGGCCTTGACTGTGTTGCACGGTCATTGGAGGCCGGTGCATGCCTGGCTCTGCTTCTCCTCTGGCCTGAGCTGAGAAGCATAAACACGCACCCGAGGCAGCTGAGCAGACTCCACTCACCGCACTTTCCCTGCACTGGCACCAGCTGCGTTCACACACCCCTCTGAGCAGCTGACGGCCCAGGATTGGGCTGAGGCTGGTGCACACCTACATGACTGGGGTATGGTCTGTTGTTGTCTTGTAGGAGGCAGTCAAATGGACAGGTGATTTCAATTTGAGGGAACTGTGGGAGCAGTCCTCCGGTACAGACACTTGGCCCATCCAGAGTTGGGGAATCAGAGATGGTTTTCTGGAAAAGAGACAGTTGAGCTGAGTCTGAAAGGCTGCACCGGCATGCAGGGTGGACAGGGCAGAGCATTCCAGGGAAGGGAATGCCAAATGAAAACATGCCACGCAAAGAAGCAGCAAACCTCTGTAAGGAGGCCATGCCCTGTTCTCTCAGCGCCTAGCTGATTACTAAGCACAGACTGAGAGACGAGAGAGGGCTTTCTTTTTTTTTTGAGAGACAGTCTCACTCTGTCGCCCAGGCTGGAGTGCAGTGGCACAATCTCGGCTCACTGCAACCTCTGCCTCCCGGGTACATGCCATTCTCCTGCCTCAGCCTCCCAAGTAGCTGGGACTACAGGCGCCCGCCACCACGCCCGCCTAATTTTTTGTATTTTTTTAGTAGAGACGGGGTTTCACCGTGTTAGCCAGGATGGTCTCGACCTCCTGACCTCGTGATCCGCCCGCCTTGGCCTCCCAAAGTGCTGGTATTACAGGCGTGAGCCACCGCACCCGGACTTTTTTTTAAATTTTTTTTTTTTGAGACGGAGTCTCGCTCTGTCGCCCAGGCTGGAATGCAGTGGCGCAGTCTCCGCTCACTGCAAGCTCCGCCTCCCGGGTTCACACCATTCTCCTGCTTCAGCCTCCCGAGTAGCTGAGACTACAGGCGCTCGCTACCACACCCGGCTAATTTTTTGTATTTTTAGTAGAGATGGGGTTTCACTGTGTTAGCCAGGATGGTCTCAATCTCCTGACCTCGTGATCCGCCCACCTCAGCCTCCCAAATTGCCAGGATTACAGGCATGAGCCACCGTGCCCGGCCAATTTTTTTATTTTTTAGTAGAGACGGGGCTTCACCATGTTGGCCAGGCTGGTCTCAAACTCCTGACCTTCTGATCCGCCCGCCTCAGCCTCCTAAAGTGCTGGGATTACAGGTGTGGGCCACATTGCCTGGCTGAGACCTTCTGATCCGCCCACCTCGGCCTCCTAAAGTGCTGGGATTACAGGTGTGGGCCACATTGCCTGGCTGAGACCTTCTGATCCGCCCGCCTCAGCCTCCTGAAGTGCTGAGATTACAGGCATGAGCCACCGCGCCCGGCCCAGAAAGAGTTTTTAAGGGAAGCTATTGAGCTCACAGCAGCAGATCCAAGTTTTCCAAAAAAATGTTTCAGTTCCTTTGAGTGGAAGATTTATTTTTTGTTCATTTTCAGGAAAACATCTGCCACATCCCTAAGTCTGAATAGCTATATGTTGTCTGTCAGTCATTTCTTCAAGTAAAAACAAAGGTCTGTGAAAAAGGTTAGTCCAGGCTCCAAAATCAGACAAGCTCCAGGTGCTTCTCAGGACAGCGCCTGCCTTAGATGCGGCAAGAGTGCTTCGTGCACATCCCGTTTCATCACAAAGGATACTTTAAAAGCCAGATGTGGTGATGCGCACCTGTAGTCCCACCTACTAGCTGTAGTCCCAGCAACTCAGGTGACTGAGACAGGAGGATCTCTTGAGCCCAGGAATTTAAATTCAGCCTGGGATTTGAATAGTGAGAGACACTATTTAATATAGAGCCCCGCCCACTGTGTGCCTCTATTAAAAAAAAAAAAAAAGACATGTATTCAGGGTAGAGTTTAATAAGAATTAGTTTTCATTGCTTCACCTGTGACATTCATAAATGACACGGGCTTTTTTCTCCCTGCGTGTGCAGCAGTGAGGATTCTATGCCCTGTGACATTCATAAATGACACGGGCTTTTTTCTTCCTGCGTGTGTAGCGTGTGCAGCAGTGAGGATTCCACGTCCACTTGTGCGCTTGGCCCCTACCTTGAGCTCCGCTTAGGCACCAGCTTAGCTTCCCAGCAGTGTCGGCTGTGTCAACACAGCAAAAGGGGCACACAGCAGCTGTTATGGTCTCACCAAGCCTGCAGAGCATACTCTGGGCACCGCCAGTCTGGGGCCTGGGAAACAGGGCTGGTATTCCTGAGGGGCCTCTGCCACAGCCACAGAGACTCAGCCTCTTTGTTTCCTTGGCAGCTGACATCGGCGACCTCCGGGAGCAGTTAGTAGAGGAGAACACAGGCTCCTTGTCGGGCCCAGCGAAGGACTTTTACCAGCGGGAGTTTGATTTCTTTAACAAGATCACCAACGTGTCGGCTGTCATCAAGTAAGTGCAGTGCTTCGGAAACCACCTTCTGGAATCTTGTTCCAGTCCCTGCAGCTTAACAGAATTGCCTGGGAAGCTTTAAAAATACCCGTGCGTGGCCCCAACCAGATGAATGAGAGTCTCTAGCAGCGGGGCTGCTGGTGGTTCTGATGGACAGCCAGGGTGGGTGGGGAAGCACTGCTTGGGGTGAGTCAGGGCTCTTGAAGGTATGGCAGAATGCACGGCCACGCCAGTTTCAGGAAACACAGCTTAGTTTCATTCCTGAGATTTGTGGAATTTAGCACATGGCTCCACAATTTGAGGTCACCCTGCCCTCTCCACACTCTGAAGGATCGATCCTCTTGGTGTCAGGAAAACCAGACTGCCTTTGCAGCTCCTGTCATCGTTTTCCTAGACCTTCCATTCATGTGGACCTGACACCATCCTTGGATGTTGGTGGCTTTGTGCATTCATAAGGGATGAAACCCTGGAGTCATCAATGCTGGGCACGCCGGCTGGGCTGTCTCCATTGCGTACACTGCTCTGACCTTGGTCACTTTGAGGCCCTTTTCTGGGCTGGGTGCTGAGAATAGCAGTGCTGGCAGCTTCTAACCCAAGAGATGAAGGACGGGAGCTAGCGTTTCCTGGGTGGCAGCAGGTGGCAGGCATTATTACCCCCACCACCCCCAGCCACACACCCCCGCACACAGCAGGGGCAGAGCCTGCCAGAAAACAGCCCTTCCGGGGCTGTCGGGGATTCTCCATGAGGAATGCAGGGCAAGAATCGCTGCCAGTGGTGCCTGGCTGCGCTAGGAGCAGCTAGAGCCGGGAAGAGAGGGACAGAGAGGGCAATCCAGGCAGGAGGGGCCCTGGGCTGTCCCCCAGTAGCCAGTTCCTCCAGGAGACAAAGCAAGAATTTCTTTCCTGTTTCTCAGGCCCTACCCTAAAGGCGACCAGAGAAAGAAGGCTTGTCTGTCGGCCCTGTCTGAAGTGACGGTGCAGCCAGGTGAGCAGGTGGCTTCTGGAGGCTCAGACCAACCTCTTCCTGCAGGCGGGCGGCGGGGCGTGAAGGCTGCTGCCCTCTCCAGGCACTGCAGGATGTGGACACAGTGGCTTGGCCAGCCCCACACCTGCTTGGGCCCACGGTGCCTGGTGCCCCAGGACCCCAGCCCCTCCCCAAAATCTGCCGCTAGTGAGCGGGAGCTGCTCGTCAGTGGGTGCCCTTCATCTTCCTTGCTGCCTGCTGTTTTTCTGGAGGCTCACACTGACCTCAGTAGCTGTTACTCTAGAAGAGGGTTCCTAGGCTCCAGCATTACAGGAGCAGGTCACACAGACAAGGGGATGGCGGGCCCAGTGTGGGAGGGCTCAGGTGTGCTGGGACCCATCAGCACCACCCCCTCACCGCCTCCATGGGAAGTCGCTCCTGGGTGCCTGTGGCTGTGGCCACATGGGAATTCAAGCCGAGCTTTTCAAGAGAAGATGGAAATCCAGACTTCACTGGGCAGCTCTCTCTCCATTTCTTTTTTTTTTTTTTTGCGATGGAGTCTTGCTCTGTCGCCTCAGCCTCCCGAGTAGCTGGGACTACAGGCGCCCGCCACCACACCCGGCTAATTTTTTTGTATTTTTAGTAGAGTCAGGGTTTCACCGTGTTAGCCAGGATGGCCTCAATCTCCTGACCTTGTGATCCTCTCGCCTCGGCCTCCCAAAGTGCTAGGATTACAGGCATGAGCCACTGTGCCCGGCCTCTCTCTGCATTTCTAACTATTGGCACAAACTTGTCTTCCAAACTCTGTCTGTCCCGTGCAGATGTTCACAGCGGCTGGTCCTTGAGTGCCCTGCAGGACCCCGGTTTAACCATTTCTTCCCAACACATTGTATTGAGCTCACACAACAGCACGGCTTCCCAGAGAGGGCAGGACATGTATGCAGGGCCTCTGTTCCCGCATTGGGAAGGCCACAACTGCTGGGGAGGGGCAAAAAGAGCTGGAAGCATTGTACTGCAGGGGGCATGCACAGAAGTCCCCAGCCCCTGGCTCTAGATTGTGTTGGCTGAGTCTTGCCCCAGAGGTCAGGGAAGCCAGCAGGGCTCTAGCAGGAGAGCACAGAGGGGCCTGAGTGTGAGCCACAGCCTGGAGCAGGCAGAAGGGCAGGTGAGGAAGAGGAGGAGATGGCATGCCCCCCTCTCCCTGTACCCCACAGCAAGGCCAAGCTTGGCTCCCCTCAAAGCCCACCTCTCAGGGCTCAAGGAGCACACATCCCCCTTGGGGACTGGCAGTTCCTTGGCCAGAAACAGGCTTTCCCTTGTCCTCTTATTTCACACATTTACTGAGCACTCACTGAGAAAGGGGAGCCTGGGCCGGGCGCGGTGGCTCATGCCTGTAATCCCAGCACTTTGGGAGGTCAAGGCAGGTGGATCACCTGAGGTCAGGAGATCAAGACCATCCTGGCTAACACGGTGAAACCCCGTCTCTACCAAAAATACAAAAAATCAGCCGGGTGTGGTGGCGGGCGCCTGTAGTCCCAGCTACTCGAGAGGCTGAGGCAGGAGAATGGCGTGAACCCGGGAGGCAGAGCTTGCAGTGAGCCAAGATTGCGCCACTGCACTCCAGCCTGGATGACAGTGCGACACTCGGTCTCAAAAAAAAAAAATTAACCAGGCATGGTGACGCGTGCCTGTAATCCCAGCTACTTGGGAGGCTGAGAACAAGAATCACTTGAACCCAGGAGGTGGAGGTTGCAGTGAGCCGAGATCGCACCACTGAACTCCAGCCTGGGTGACAGAGTGAGACTCTGTCTCAAAAAAGCAAAAACAAGAAAAGAAAAGGCATGACATTGGGTATTGTGGCTGTTAAAAAGATGAGTAAGACATGGTCCCTGAGCTGAAGAAGCTTGAACTCACAGAGATATAAAATAAGCATAAAGAAACAATGTTGGCCTGGCACGGTGGCTCATGCCTTAATCCCAGCACTTTGGGAGGCCAAGGCGGGTGGATCACCTGAGGTAAGGAGTTCCAGACCAGCCTGGCCAACTTGGTGAAACCCCATCTCAACTAAAAGTACACAAATTAGCCAGGCGCGGTGGCGGGCGCCTGTAATTCCAGCTACTCGGGAGGCTGAGGCAGGAGAATCGCTTGAACCTGGGAGGCGTAGGTTGCAGTGAGCCGAGACCGAGCCACTGCACTCCAGCCTGGGCGACAGAGTAGGACTCCGTCTCAAAAAGAAAAAGAAAAAAAGAAACGTGTTAGACAAAAGTCCTAAAGGCTGGGAGAACCAAGGACAGTTCATGGACATAGTGACATTTAAGTAAGGCTTTTGAGAGAGTAGTGTTCAAATGGGTAAGGAAGGCCGGGCGTGGTGGCTCACACCTGTAATCCCAGCACTTGGGAGACCAAGACGGGTGGATCACTTGAGGTCAGGAGTTTGAGACCAGCCTGGCCAACATGGCGAAACTCCATCTCTACTAAAAATATAAAAATTAGCCAGGCATGGTGGCAGGCACCTATAATCCCAGCTACTCAGGAGGCTGAGGCAGAAGAATTGCTTGAACCTGGGAGGCGGAGGTTGCAGTGAGCCAAGATCGCACCACTGCACTCCAGCCTGGGTGATAGAGTGAGACTCTATCCAAAAAAAAAAAAAAAAAAAAAAAAACAGGGACTCCAAGAATGGAGGGCTGTTCAGAGGCTGTTGCTCAGGCAGGTGGAGGCAGGACAGGCCTCACACACACCCCCAGAAGCAGTAGGGCTGTATCCGTGAGGATGGGGCTCAGTGCTCCTCTAGGAAGAGCATTTCCCAGAAGGTGCAGACTCATTTGGTCGATGGTTGGAAGAGTCGAAGAGTCAAGGAGGACGGACCCTTAGCGGCCACAGAATAATAAGTTAGTGGTGCCCTGGACAAGGACCAGAGGCCCCTCCACAGGGGTGGGGTGTGCCTGCAGGGTGGACACGCACGTAACATCCGTGTTGGAAACTGACTCTGGCTCACCTGTGGTGACACATGCACTCCCTGTGACTGCCTCTGTCCCTGCACAGGCTGCTCCCTGCCCAGCAACCCTGAAGCCATTGTGCTGGACGTCGACTACAAGTCTGGGACCCCGATGTAGAGGTGAGCGCCTCACCCTACCCATCCCCCGCTTCCACAGCGTCCGCGTGTGAAGTTTTTCTCGGCTGCATCATGGGTGCCACATTCTTTTTGTTGTTTTCAGTGCTGCAAAAGCCCCATATCTGGCCAAGTTCAAGGTGAAGCGATGTGGAGTTAGTGAACTTGAAAAAGAAGGTCAGTAAAGAACCCTGATTTTGTTTGGGAGCTCAGTGCTTTTCCTTGCTAATGCCAGTTTCTTCTGGCATGTGTTAAATTTAGTACAGCTCTCCATAAAAGATGATGTCTGTCCATCTGTCTGCCCTCAGTCAGACCCCTCGCTAGGGGATGGCAGGGAGCTCAAATGCACTGACAGATGTGCCACCCCAGAGGTCTGTCTGCCATGAGTCAGCTGGCATGCTCCAGCAGGCTCCTTCCTGAGGCTGAGGGGCCCGGGGCCGTTGGGGGGTGTTAGTTTCCTGGGGCTACTGTACGGACGATCTCAGTTCTGGAGGCTGGAGTCCATCATCAGGGTCGTGCCCCCTCTGAAGGCTCTGGGCAGGTCACACCTTGCCTCCTCAGCTTCTGGTGGTGTTGCCAGCAGTCCTGGGCTCACCTTGGCCTGCAGATGCTCCACTCCCATCTCCGCCTCCCTCTTCACATGATGATCTCCCTTGAAGGACATCAGTCATTGGATTAGGGACTGTCCTAATCCACTGTGACCTTGTCTTAACCTAATTACATCTGCAAAGACCCTGTTTCCAAATAAGGACACATTCTAAGGTTTGGGGTGAACATGAATTTTAGGGAGACACTCTTCAACCCAGTACAGACGGTGTGGCCAGCTGTGGAGAGGGGGCTGCCACCCCTTGCAGGGACCTGCCTCCCATGGCCATGTCTGCACACTGGCCCCGAGCCCTCCCAGGACCCCAGTGTACAGACACATTCCTCCTGCCCCCCAGCTCACAGCACCCAACACTGACTCAGGCACACCTGGGTCTTCACTGCAGATGAAATGGGGCTCTGTTTTTAGTTCCATTTAAGCCTAAATGTTCTTAGACTCCAACCCTGGATTCCACCTGCTGTTCCAAGGCTTTCCTTGGGCCCTGCTGGGCTCCTCCTTGGCCTCCTTGGGGTTTTGAAGAAGTGATCCCCAAGATTGCTGGGGTTCCTTTCAGGCATGTGAGAGGACTCATCCCTGGCCCCCTCAGAGGGCTTCTCACTGCCTACAGGCTAACAGTGGCCTCTCTCCCTGCGGGCAGGTCTGCGGTGCCGCTCAGACTCTGAGGATGAGTGCAGCACGCAGGAGGCCGACGGCCAGAAGATCTCCTGGCAGGCAGCCATCTTCAAACTGGGAGACGACTGCCGGCAGGTAAGCAGGGTCAGGCCTCAAGTAGGCTTGGGGACTGGGCTTGCTGCTCCCCAAGGCTCCAGGCCCACCAGAGTCCAATCTCATATGCAGAAATGTGAATCTTTTCCTTCTCTTACATGGTTCAGGTGCCACGGGGTAAATTAGGGCTTCTGCAAAACCCAGAGGCCTCTCCTTCCAGCCCCTTTCCCACTGTCCCTGCCATGCCAGTGCCCACCTGAGGGAACTGTCCAGGGGTTGGGTGCCTTATCTCACACACCCCACCAGACAGCTCAGCCTCATGCTCAGCCCAGGGCCTGGTGGTCCCAGCAGCCTGAGTCCAGCCCCCGGTGGTCAGAAAGGAAGGCCTTCCAGACTCTTGCTCGGCTGTGGTCTCCCCACCTCACTCCATCTCTGGGTTCTCGGCTTTTGCCCTGCATGAGCCAGAAGAGCTACTGGGGTGCAAGGACGCCAACTGACCGCATCCTGCGCCTCCCGGCTTCCCAGGACATGCTGGCCCTGCAGATCATCGACCTCTTCAAGAACATCTTCCAGCTGGTCGGCCTGGACCTCTTTGTTTTTCCCTACCGCGTGGTGGCCACTGCCCCTGGGGTAAGTTCCCTGAGTGGAGCCAGTAGGGCAGCCCTGGGCACCTCGCACCCGGCGGGCCTCAGAACTGGCCTTTCCTCCTAGTGCGGGGTGATCGAGTGCATCCCCGACTGCACCTCCCGGGACCAGCTGGGCCGCCAGACAGACTTTGGCATGTACGACTACTTCACACGCCAGTACGGGGATGAGTCCACTCTGGCCTTCCAGC
Organism: Homo sapiens; assembly: GCF_000001405.40. NCBI lineage: Eukaryota > Metazoa > Chordata > Mammalia > Primates > Hominidae > Homo > Homo sapiens. The sequence goes on along the minus strand of NC_000022.11, from coordinate 18,538,434 downwards.
AGGTAGCCAGGGTGGCCACAGGCCGGGGAAAGTCGTGTGCGCTCCACCCTACCCCAGCCACCCATACCCAGCCTCTACCCACACCCTGCTCTCCTCAGTCATCCTTTGTTAAGGGTTAAAACCAGGGCACCTGGGCTGGGCACGGTGGCTCACGCCTGTAATCCTAGCACTTTGGGAGGCCGAGGCGGGCAGATCACGAGGTCAAGAGATCAAAACCATCCTGGCCAAAATGGTGAACGCTGTCTCTACTAAAAATACAAAAATTAGCTGGGCATAGTGGCACGCGCCTGCAGTCCCAGCTACTCAGGAAGCTGAGGCAGGAGAATCGCTTGAACCCAGGAGGCAGAGGTTGCTGTGAGCCGAGATTGCACCACTGCACTCCAGCCTGGGCAACAGAGTGAGACTCCATCTGAAAAAAAAAAAAAAAAAAAAAACCAGGGCACCTGGCCGGGCGCAGTGCTCACGCCTGTAATGCCAGCACTTTGGGAGGCCAAGGCGGGCAGATCATGAGGTCAAGAGATCGAGACCATCCCGACCAACATGGTGAAACCCCATCTCTACTAAAAGTAAAAAAATTAACTGGGCATGGTGGTGGGCACCTGTAGTCCCAGCTACTCGGGAGGCTGAGGCAGGAGAATCTCTTGAACCCAGGAGGCAGAGGTTGCAGTGAGCCAAGATCATGCCACTGCACTCCAGCCTGGCGACAGAGCGAGACTCCATTTAAAAAAAAAAACACCAGGGCATCTGTAAGCCACTTTGGGAGTCAAAAGAATGTAGAGCTGGGCTGGACTCCTTAGAAGAAAGTTAAGTTCTGAGTGTGGGAGGAAGTGCCTGCACCCCCACATCCAGACAGCCCGTCACTCCTGCTGCCGAAGACTGACTTGCTGATTCGGGCTCTGCCTCCATAGTGGGGGCACAGAGCCAGGGAGAGTGCCCACAGGCCCAGGGATCCTGGGTGTGGGACCAGGGAGAATGCCCACAGGCCCCAGGGCCTTTTTGAGCCCAGGGCGCTCTCTGCACAGGCCTGCTACAACTTCATCCGAAGCATGGCCGCCTACAGCCTCCTGCTGTTCCTGCTGCAGATCAAGGACAGACACAACGGCAACATTATGCTGGACAAGAAGGGCCATATCATCCACATCGGTCAGCCAGCCACAGCGCCACCCTCCTCTCCCTTCACCCCGGCACCCAGGGGTGGATAGGGATCCCCACCCCACAGAGAGGAGAATGCCCAGGACCACCCTGCCAGGAGTGTCAGGGTCCAGCTCTGAGGTCCGAACTGTCGGCCACCAAGCTGTTCTGCTGTAGAGGGTGCCTGGCCCCGGCCCCAGGGAGCTGGGGCGAGAGCCGCCATTGCTCTGAGTCAGAAGCTGGAGCTGGGCGGAGTGGGGCTCGTCCAGGTTCAGTGCCCCAGCTTGGCTCCTTCCTCCACTTCCTCCCTTCTCTTTCTCTGCCTGCTGCCCCACCACCCACCCCATCACTGTCTCCAAGAAAACACAACCTGCCTTTTGGGGGTGGAGGGGGTGCTCCTGTTGCAGAGTCCTTTTCCACTCCTCAAAACAGACCACTCGTCCTTGCCCGCCCTGGCTCCTACCCAGTCACAGGCAGCTCTTTGGGGTTTTGCAGACTTTGGCTTCATGTTTGAAAGCTCGCCGGGCGGCAATCTCGGCTGGGAACCCGACATCAAGCTGACGGATGAGATGGTGATGATCATGGGGGGCAAGATGGAGGCCACACCCTTCAAGTGGTTCATGGAGATGTGTGTCCAGGCTACCTGGCTGTGCGGTGAGCCTGGGTGAGGACCAGGGTGGAGGCGGAGGGGGTGTGTGGAACGTTCTGAGATCCCCTTTAGGATGAAGGGAATCCGGTTCCAGAGAGTGAGGTAGGTGCTAGCAGCCACCTGCTGACCTACACCTGTCCTTTGGTCACCTCTGTCTGCCCACCTGTGCCAGTAAATTCTTGCTCTGGGCATCTAATTCCAACCACCTTCCCCACAATCCTGCCCACGCCTTCAGCCATGGGCTCTCCCTTTCTGGGCATCCCATCCACCCTGTCACCAAAGCCTGAGCACCTGCCACCCCACAGGCTACGTGCCAAAGATGGGCTTTGTCCCAGTTTCATATACAGGTCACTTGGCCAAGGCCACAGTCCAACCTGGGTTCATCCCCACTGCCCCGCAGAGAAAGGCAGGTCAGCGTGTCTGCATCCCACCCAGGTGCAGAAGCCATGGCCGGCAGCCTTATGTGGGGGACAGGGCAGGACACTCAGCCTGTCCAGAGTGCGTATGGGCAGCCCTTGCCTGGGCAGTACGGGTGACCGAGTGCAGCAGATCGAAAGTTGCCTCGGGGATGTGCAAGATGTGGCAGGCGAGGTGGGTGGCAGGAGCCCACACCTGAGGCTGTTGGCATCAGCCAGTCCACAGGACTACAGGCAGGGCCACCACCTAGGCTGGCCTCTGCCCACCGCTCCCTCCTGTCTCTCCCCAGGCCCTACATGGATGTGGTCGTCTCCCTGGTCACTATCATGTTGGACACGGGCCTGCCCTGTTTTCGCGGCCAGACAATCAAGTTCTTGAAGTAGGTTCCTTGGTGGACACGCAGGCCATCTGGGGGACAGTTGTCCATTAGCTGAGGCTCCATCCAAGATAGGTACCTTTCATGTAATTGTCACTGTGGTTGTCATCTCCTTGGAACCTCAGAGCAGACAGGGTTCCTAGGTGAGGCTCTACCCCTAGACCACAACTGTGAGGGGCCCCTGCTTGTGCCGGCCACACCAGAGACCCACCCAGGGGCCTCTATTTATGTCAAGGATGCTACGCCCACCCCACCTCCACCCTAAGGTCTGGGGCTGCAGTAGCTTAGCTCCCCAATGCTTAGTCCCCTAATGCCATGGGGCCACTCAGGTGATGCTGGGAAGGGGACAGGGCCCATGATAGGCCAGGTGTGGCCTTCACAGCACCCCATCTTCCAACATGTGGACCCCAAAGGTACATTTCCAGGGCATGGCTCTCAGCTGAAGTCCGTCCCCATGGAAGACCCTCCTCCCACTGGGCCAGGGAGCCAGCACGGCCCTGCCCATGGCAGCCCTGACACAGCCTCTTCTCCAGGCACAGGTTTAGCCCCAACATGACTGAGCGCGAGGCTGCAAATTTCATCATGAAGGTCATCCAGAGCTGCTTCCTCAGCAACAGGTGAGTGCCCCGCCCCCCTGCCTTCTCCCACTGCCTCGGTGGCCACTGGGCACCTGCAGGGCCTTGCCTGCACCAGGCGATGAGGATTCTGCTGTCCCCAAGCCGCCCCTCTCATGAAGACCCAAGTCTTGACAGGAACTCTTGAGGAGCAGTGGGGTGCTGGTTTAGGGGGCTGTGGTGTGCCGAGGGGAACACTTGGCAGAGGCCGGGCCCACCTGGGCAGGGCTCGTGAGGCCGAAGGAGCAATAGGGACACAAGGCCAGGAGTATTAGAACTGAGTGTGGTGTCAGGCCTCCCTCCTCCCAGGAGGGCTGAGGAGTCAGAGCCCACTCCTTCCCTGCGCCTGCCTCGGGCTGCTTCGTGGGCAGTGACTGGAGGTGCAGGCCGGGCTGCTGGTCACTACTGTGGTGGGAGGAGATGGGTGCAGGGGGCCCTGGGGAGGGCTGGCTCAGGGTCTGAAGGCAGAGCACCGGGCTGACAGGCTCCCTGCTGTGGGAGTCAGAGGTGGCTTTGAGGGGTCCGGCCTGAACAAAGGGAGGATGGCGATCCCAGCAAGTGAGCCATCCCCGAAGGGGGCAGCACTTAAACATGTGGGGTTGGTAAGGCCCTGAGGGGCATGTGGGAGCCCAAGGCTGTGCCATGGGACAGACCACATCCAGACTAGGAGGAGGGGCCCAGGTGTGGCCATCTGCATGGGGAACTGCCGGAGGAGCGTGAGAGGAAGCTGAGACCTGCCCCCAGGTGGCGCCCAGGTCCGTCACCCTAACAAGGGCACTGTGGAGGCTGGGCACGGAAGGAGCTCTTGCTGATAGGAAGCAGAGAAGCCAGGCGGCCAGGACCTCAAGAGGGGCTGGGGCAGGGCGAGAAGGGGCTCTCCAGAGGTGCGAGGAGAGCGTACAGACCCCTTGGAGGCATCTGGCCAGGACGAGCCAAGGGGCCCGAGGCCCATGGGGCAGAGCAGTGGCTCCCACGGATGGAAGCGGTTTGGCTGAGGAGCATGAGGTGGCCTCAGAGTCCCCCGGGTTGGAGCAGATGTGGTCACTGGGTGGGGGAGGGCACGCCTGGGACATTTGTACCTTCAGGTGCTGGGCAGCCATAAGGGGCTGATTGGACAGGTAGGGCTCCCTGCAGGGAGGGACCCCAGACCCTGCTGGCTCCTCGAATCTCCCTTCACTCTTCTTGGCCTTTCAGGAGCCGGACCTACAACATGATCCAGTACTATCAGAATGACATCCCCTACTGAGGAGGGGACCTTCGAGGGCCTCTGCCCCATGTGCCCTTGAAGCTGCCCCACAATCATGGAGCCCTGCGACCTACCCGCCCTGCCGCCACATGCAGTGGAGGAGAGGCCTGTGGCCCGAAGAGCCTGGTAGCGCCTCCTGGGGCAGCACGTGGGTGGCGCAGGCTTAGTAACGCCGTGGACTGCAGCGACAATCAGTGGATGGTGCTGTCTATGCACAGGTGTGAGTCCTCTGTTTGCACTGGACATATTCCCTACCTGTTTTATTTCATAGGTACATGAAGTATTGTGTATAAAAAAAGAGATAAGATTTAACCAACATCAACAAAATAAAAACCCAAAATAGTGCTGTGTTGGAATCTGTGAGGTTTTGTGTCAAGTCCTAAGTCCACCTTCAGCCAAAGGGCAGTTCCTGGATTTGCCCCTAGAGAGGGGGGCCCAGTGTTGGCTGCACTCATAGGCTGGGGCCCAGGAGCACGGGTTGTGGCTTAACAAACATGAGATTCCCATAATCTCACCACGGCATAGGTGCACCAAAACACACATTGTGTTTGTCCTGACTGCTGTCTGCCCGCTCCAAAACTGTCTCCCTCAGGGCTGCCGTGGGGGCCTGTCTGTGGCTCTCCGCAGCATCTTCCCACTGCTCTAGTCTTTCCCTCTTGCTTGTTTTCAAGTGCTGTGCTCTGGAACTCCAAAATCTTTGTGTGACTAGACCCAGCAAGCATCTACTCCCACCCACCGAGGCCCTGCATCTGAAGCAGATAGGAATAAAGACCTGAAACAAAAGAGAAACTCCAAAAGATCAGCTAAACAGCAGCAGGTAAGAAGAGAAAATCAGTGATCAGAATAGTGAAATGACCAAACATGCAGTGTGAAGGAAAGGAAAGCCAAGCGGGGTGGCTCCTAATCCCAGCACTTCAGCAGGCCAAAGCAGGAGGATTGCTTGAGTCCAGGAGTTCAACACCAGCATAAGCAACACGGGAAGACCCTGTCTCTACAAAAAAATTTAAAATTAGCCACATGGTGGTGCATGCCTGTAGTCCCAGCTACTCAGGAGGGTAAGAAAGATAGGATCACTGGAGCCGAAGAGCAAGACTCCAGTGAGCTATGATGGTACCACTGCAGTCCAGCCTGGGTAACGGTCAAAAAAAAAAAAAAAAAGAAGAGTTGAATGAAAAGCTCCAGTCAACTTTTTCTTTTTTTTTTAGTCGGAGTCTCACTCTGTCGCCCAGGCTGGAGTGCAGTGGCGTGATCTCTGCTCACTGCAACCTGTCTCCCAGGTTCAAGCAATTCTCCTACCTCAGCCTCCTAAGTAGCTGGGATTTCAGCTGCACGCCACCACACCCAGCTAATTAATTTTTGTACTTTTAGAAGAGAAGGGGTTTCGTCATGTTGGCCAGGCTGATCTTGAACTCCTGGCTTCAGGTGATCTGCTCGCCTCGGCCTCCCAAAGTGCTGAGATTGGAGCCACCGTGCCCGGCCCCAATCAACTTCTAATGGGATTTCCAGAGTTGAAAAACACAAATATTCAGCTTTAGGAAGCACAGTTGAGTCCTGAGCAGTACAAATAAAAATATAGGCTGGGCACAGTGGCTCACATGTGTAATCCCAGCACTTTCGGAGGCTGAGGTGGGTGGATTGCTGGAGTCCAGCAGTTTGAAAACAGCCTGAGCAACATGGCAAGACCCCATCTCTACAAAAAATACAACAATTATCCGGGCATGGTGGCACAAGCCCGTAGTCCCAGCTACTCAGGAAGCTGAGGTGGATCGCTTGAGCCCGGGAGGTGGAGGTTGCAGTGAGCCAAGATCACACCATTGCACTCCACACTGGATGACAGAGTGAGACTGTCTTAATAAAAAATATGAGTCAGCGTATAAGTTAAAAGGAGTTTTAAAAGATACTAATCCAAAAGAAGGCAGAAAAGGAGAAACATAATAGACTTACCAGCCCAATTTAAAAGTCAGGGATTACAAACATGAATTGAAGAAGTGAGACCCAGTTATGTGCTGATTATAACCAAAGCACTTTACATATGAAGACAGATGTAAGATGAAAATAACAGATAGAAAAAAGACTGGCCATCCATAATCAAAATGTGTATGGGTGTTTATGAAGGGGCATTTCACAATAAGCAATTGACGGCGCTACCAACAAGAAAGTAAACACAGGAGCCCTGAACAAGCCTGTCACTCACCTGGACCTGCTGGGTATTTAGAACACACTCTGTCGGCCTGGCACGGTGGCTCATGCCTGTAATCCCAGCACTTCGGGAGGCCAAGCCAGGCGGATCACAATGTCAAGAGATCAAGACCATCCTGGCCAACACGGTGAAACCCTGTCTCTGCTAAAAATACAAAAATTAGCTGGGCATGGTGGAATGCATCTGTAGTCCCAGCTACTCAGGAGGCTGAGGCAGGACAATCACTTGAACCTAGTAGGTGGAGGTTGGAGTGAGCCGAGATTGCACACCACTGTACTCCAGCCTGGCGACAGAGCGAGACTCCGTCTCAAAAAAAAAAAATCACTCTGTCAACAGCAACAATACACTTTCTTCTCAGTGTTCATTACAAGCTTTGTGCTGGGCCACAAAACAAGTCTCAGTAAATGAGATAGAATTAAAATCATGCAGAGTGTATTCTCTGGCCACAGTGGAAATTAGGACTCAGTAAGATATCTGGAGAAAATGTTGGCCAGGCACGGTGGCTCATGCCTGTAATCCCAGCACTTTGGGGAGGCCAAGGTGGGCGGATCACGAGGTCAGGAGATCGAGACCATCCTGGCTAACACAGTGAAACTCTGTCTCTACAAAAAATACAAAAAATTAAACGGGCATGATGGCGGGCGTCTGAAGTCCCAGCTACTTGGGAGGCTGAGGCAGGAGAATCGCTGGAACCCGGGAGGCAGAGCTTGCAGTGAGCCGAGATCATGCCACTGCACTCCATCCTGGGCGCAGAGCAAGACTCCGTCTCCAAAGAAAAGAAAAAAAAAAGTAGCACATGTGATCAGAGGGAAAAGACCTAAGATGCTTTAAGGCGGTTTAGGGGAAGATGACAGCGATGAGCTGAGCTCAAGTAGTAAGAATACCAGAATACAGAGTGTGACTTCCCAAATAAACAGAAGGAAAGGGGAGCATTGAAAAATCAGGATCAACATGTTACAAATGGTAGAAATAAATTCAAATATAGTAGAAATAATTTCAAATCACAATACTTGAAAAGGCAGCTTGTCAGATTGGCAAAGTGTCAAATGCTATGTACAAGTTTCTGGCAATATGGCAAATTATGTATCCTGAAAAACTAAAAATGCTGTTTACAATACTGGGGAGTGGCTCTAAATCCATGAGCTGTAAGGAAGGAAGGAATCTTTGGAGGCTGAAAAGCCAGTCAAGCTCCTACATGACATGGGAGACAGACGACGAACCCACGAGCTTCATCCCTTGAGTTTATTAGGCAACCTTGGTCTACACTCTCAGGAGAGGAGTGCACCAGAAATAAAGCCAGGTGCCCTGGAGTCCACCTGGAGCCAGGCGCGGGGCGCTGCACTTAGGTTGGCAGCAGCCCGTTAGCGCGCAGCTCCAGCAGCGGGGACAGCGTGTAGCGCAGGCGGCGCAGCGTCGTCTCCGAGGTGAGGCTCCAGAGCCACGCGGAGACGGCGCCGGGGTCCAACAGCACCGTCCAGAGCAGCGACAGCCCCAGGAAGAGGAGCGGCAGCGTCAGCAGCACCTGCAGCGCGCCCAGCACGCACCGCCTGCGGGGCGAAAGGCGGGCAGGTGGGGGACCGCGGCCGCGCCCACCGCCCGGCTCACCTGATGGCCAGCGCGCGAGGGCCGCCGAACAGCCGCGTCTCCTGCGGGGAGAGAGGGCCGCATCCAGCTACCTCCGCGCCCGCGGCGCCGGCCCGGTTTCCAGGAGGAGGGGGAGGCGGTACCGCGGGGGGGACGGGGAGGGTTGTCCCGCTCCAGCCCACCCCGCCCGGACCCGCGCAGGCGCTCACTCGGTCCGCCCTGGCCATCTCCTCCATGAGCGACTCGGTGCTGTACTGCACTCCGCGAAGCTGCCCGTCACACCTGCGGGGACAGGCATGCAGGTGGGAGCCCAGCCCGGCCCCACAGTGCCCCGCCGCGCCCGCAGGCCCAACTCCCTTACAGTTCCCGGCCACTCTGCCAGGCGTCCAGCTCCTCCGCAGCCTCCATCACCTTCACCTGCACCTCCTGGAGCGGGTGAGAGTGCGGACTGAGGCCTCGGGGAGGCGTCCTGGCGGTGGGTTGGGAGACTTACCGCCCCAGGTCTGGGGGAGGAGAGGCGGGAGGCACCTTGGCGTCTGAGTGGGGCCGCACCTGCAGGACTACGGTCTGCTCCTGGAATATGGCCCAGGCCTCCGCTGTCTGCAGCGCGTCCTGGGTGTGGACACCCGGGTTAGACTCGGCGGCGTCGGGGCGACAGGCCCTTCCCCATCCACACTCGAAAGCCTACCCTCCTCCAACAGAACCCGCTTCTGCCCTCACCTGCTGCAGCTTCTCCTCCTGCAAGGCGCATTTGGTCTCCGCCAGCTCCAGTTCATTCTTGAGAAGGACCCAGGGAATGTCAGGAGGTCCGCAGGCCGGCAACCCGCTGCGCCTCCGGGCCCCGCCCCCGGCCCTCAGTGCCCGCCCCCAGGCGATCATGACCCCGCCCGCGTCCTCAGGACCAGTCGTAAGCAACGCCCCAACTGGTCATGGCCACGCCCCCTCCGCGCTCCGCCCCTATTCTAGCCCTCAGAGCCCCGCCCCCATGCGATTGTGCTCCGCCCACATCCCCCGCCCCGCCCACGCCTTCAGGGCCTGCCTTAAGCCACACCCCCAGGTGGTCACGGCCCCGCTCACGCTGCTGCTCCGCCCCTACTAAAGACCTCAGGGTCCCGCTCAAGCACCTGCAGCGTCACCAATTGGGCTGCGAGTTGCTGCTCCGTGCTCTTCTGGCTCTGCGGTTCCCCTCCGTAGAAGAGCTAGGGGCGGGGCTTGTAAGGGCGGGGTTTACCGGGCTTCTGGAGGAACGAGTGTCAGGGGAGACAGGGACGGGGAGACAACAAGGGCGAGGACAAGGGCAGGACTTCCGAGAGGAACCAAGAGACAGGCCCTCCCATCTCCTGCACGTACCTGACTCGACAGCTCCTCCCACTGCTCCTGCAGCTGCCTGCTGTGCTGCTCCTGCGGACGGGGTCCTGGGGCGGTGCCGACCTCTCCGCCGGTCCTACCTCACCCCACCCCCGGATCCCGCCCCCTTCCGCCCGCCCTGCCTCACCCCACCCTGGGTCCAGCCCCATTCTAGGACTCTTCCTCACCAAGTCCTCCTTGTGGCGCTCCGCCTCCTCCAGTCTTCTGCGCACCCGCTCCGCGCGCTCCCGCGCCGCCTCGCGCGCCTCCCCTTGCAGAGGCTGCGCTGCCTGGCTTCGCCTCCGCAGCAGGCTGCAGAGGGAAACTGAGGTTGGCGCTACAAGGCGGACTGGGTCGCTCAGGATCCCGCAGTCGCCAGGAAGGACCAGCCGCAGGCTCATGATTGAGGACTGGGAAGTCCTGGCCGAGTCCCCCACCTGGGTCCGCTGGGTGGATCACCCGTTCCCAAGGGCCTAGAGCAGAGATGCGGGCCCGGGCGGATCAGCCTGGTACTCTGCGAAGCACCTCGCGGCGCTGCCTGCGGGACCGACCCTCGCGCGCCCGCCAGGTAGAAGAGCGGCGTTCCCCGCGCACCTCCGCTCCCGCTCGCTCAGGTCCTGCAGGCGCTGGTTGAGGCTCTCGCTCTCGGCCTCGAGCCCGCGCATCAGCTTCTCTAGCTCCTGCTTCCGCTGGCGACCATCTCGGTTATCCTTCTGCAACTGCAGCAGCAGCTCCTGCGTCGCGGCCATGGCTGTGGAGACCGAGCCTAAATGCCGCCCGCCTCGGGGACCCAGCCTGCGGCTGGCAGGCGTCACAATGGGCGGCAGGGAGCGCCTAGCGGGCTGGATCACAATGGGCGGCAGGGGAAGCCCGAGCGTAGCCCGACACATGCCCCTTCTCACGCCGGCCGGAGGCGGGTCAGGCCGGATCACACTTAGTCCATCACTGATGAAAATTGTGTCAAAGAGCCGTAATTGGATCAATGAAAGGTTAATAAAATACTAATACCAAATGCAGGCAAGTTGAAGATTGGTTCCCCCACACTGCAGATGGCACTTGCAAACTGATCGATCTCTTGTGGAAAAGAACCCATAAATATGTTCGTAGCTTTTGACCCAATTATCCTTCTCCTGGGAAATTTATCCCAGAAAGGAGAAAAAATAATTTAAACCCACTACACACTAAATGGTTCGCTGAAGTGGTTACAGTAGCCACAAAAAAAGGAAACAATTTTAATGATTAAAATGTGCTTGGGTATTATGTGGTATGCCTAGAGCTATGATGATGTCTAGTGAAAAAGAATTTGATTTAGCATTTATGCTAAAGTAACTAAGATAAAATACATGAGCAAGATCCGTAAAGGAAACAGGAGGAAGATAAGCTCTTTCATTGCTTGGTGAGACTGTAGGTAAACTCGTCCTTTTAAGTATTATTATTTTAGAGGCAGGTCCTGCTGTCACCAGGCTGGAGTACAGTGGAGCAATCGAGGCTAGCTGCAGCTTCAATCTCCCAGGCTCAAGTGATCCTTCCGCCTTAGCCTCCCAACTTGTCCTTTTAAAATCTGCCTTTATTTGTCCAGTTACAATTATGAACTTGGATGCAAAAATCCAAAATACATTACTAACAAAATCTAAAGGGAAACAGAAATCCATGGAAACCAAACAGAGTTTATTCCAGAGATTGTTCAACATCAGAAAATCAGTGTTGTTCACCATATGGACAAACAGGGAAGAACTCCACGATCTCAATGGCGCACTTCAATAGATGCAGAAAACATGAAGATGAGGGTCACCATCTATTAATAATTTTTTTTTTTTCTGAGACAGAGTCTCATTCTGTTGCCCAGGCTGGAGTGCAGTGGCACAATCTTGGCTCACTGCAACCTCCGCCTACTGGGTTCAAGCAATTCTCTGCCCCAGCCTCCAGAGTAGCTGGCATTACAGGCACTCGCCACCACGCCCAGCTAATTTTTTTGTATTTTTAGTAGAGACAGGGTTTCACCATCTTGGCCAAGCTGGTCTTCAACTCCTGACCTCGTGATCCACCCACCTCGGCCTCCCAAAGTGCTGGGATTACAGGCCTGAGCCACCTCACCTGACCATCTATTGATAATTCTAAAAGCTCTAACAAAAGGGAGAGATAAAAGCACTCTCTAGTCTGATAAAGGCCACAGTAAACATTATAGTAAGGAGGAAGTATTAATAGTATATGCTTTTTTTTGCTTTTTTTTTTTTTTTTTAGAGTCAGGGTCCTGCTGTCACCCTGGCTGGAGTGCAGTGGTACGATAAAAGCTAACTGCAGTCGCACACTTCAGGGCTCAAGTGATCCTTCCGCCTCTCACCCTTTAAGAAGTAGTAGACGGCCGGGCACGGTGGCTCACGCCTGTAATCCCAGCACTTTGGGAGGCCGAGGCGGGTGGATCATGAGATCAGGAGTTCAAGACCAGCTTGGCCAAGATGGTGAAATCTTGTCTTTACTAAAAATACAAAAAAAAAAGTTAGCCGGGTATGGTGGTGCTTGCCTGTAGTCCCAGCTACTCGGGAGGCCGAGGCAGGGGAATCGAACCCGAGAGGCAGAGGTTACAGTGAGCCGAGATTGCACCACTGCACTCCAGCCTGGTGACAGAGGGAGGCTCCATCTCAAAAAAAAAAAAAAATGTAGTAGTAAAGGCCAAGCACAGTGGTTCACACCTGTAATCCCAGCACTTTGGGAGGCCAAGGTGGGTGGATCACCTGAGGTCTGGAGTTTGAGACCAGCCTGGCCAACATGGTAAAACCCCACCTCTACTAAAAATACAAAAAATTAGCTGGGCATGGTGGCCTATAATCCCAGCTACTCAGGAGGCTGAGGCAGGAGAATCGCATAAAACCAGGAGGCGGAGGTTGCAGTGAGCCGAGATCGTGCCACCGCACTCCAGCCTGGGCAACAGTGTGAGCCTCCATCTTAAAAAAAAAAAAAAAAAAATAGTAAAAGAGGCTGGCCACGGTGGTTCATGCCTGTAATCCCAGCACTTTGGGAGGCAAAGGAGGGCAGATCACGAGGTCAGGAGATCAAGACCATCCTGGCTAACACGGTGAAACCCCATTTCTACTAAAAATACAAAATTAGCTGGGCATGGTCGCGAGTGCCTGTAATCCCAGCTACCCGGGAGGCTGAGGCAGGAGAATGGCGTGAACCCGGGAGGCGGAGGTTGCAATGAGCCAAGATCACGCCACTGCACTCTAGCCTGGGCGACAGAGCGAGAGTCTGTCTCAAAAAAAAAAAAAAAAAAAATTTTTTTTGTAGGGACAGAGTCTCACTTTGTTGCCCTGGATGGTCTCAAAATTCTAGCTACAAGTGATCCTCCTGCACTGGCCTCTTAAAGTTCGTAATGCTTTGCTCTTTTAAGTTTGTCTCTTTGTGAACATGTAAGAAACTACGGGGCCGGGCGCGGTGGCTCACGCCTGCAATCCCGGCACTTTGGAAGGCCAAGATGGACGATCTCCTGATCGAGGCCATCCTGGCTAACACGGTGAAACCCCGTCTCTACTAAAAATACAAAAAATTAGCCGGGCGTGGTGGCGGGTGCCTATAGTCCCAGCTACTCGGGAGGCTGAGGCTGGATAATGGCATAAACCCGGGAGGCGGAGCTTGCAGTGAGCGGAGCTTGCGCCACTGCACTCCAGCCTGGGTGACAGAGCAAGATCCATCTCAAAAAAAAAGAAAAAATTTAAAATGAGCTGGGTGTGCTGGTGTGCACCTGTAGTCCCGGTTACTCAGAAGGCTGAGCTGGGAGGATCTCTTGGGCTTGGGAGTTTAAGGCTGCAGTGAGCTATAATCATGCCACCACACTCCAGCCTGGGCAACAGTGAGACCCCCAACTCAATCAACCAATCAAAAATGTCTTCAGATCGGGCGCGGTGGCTCACACCTGTAATCCCAGCACTTTGGGAGGCTGAGGCAGGTGGATCACTTGAGGTCAGGAGTTCAAGATGAGCCTGGCCAACATGGTGAAACCCTGCCTCTACTAACAACAACAACAACAAAAAAATTAGGTTGGGCGTGGTGGTTCAAGTGATTCTCCTGCCTCAGCCTCTCAAGTAGCTGGACTACAGACGCCCACCACCACGTCTGGCTAATCCTTGTATTTTCAGTAGAGATAGGGTTTCATTATGTTGGTCAGGCTGGTCTCGAACTCCTGACCTCGAATGATCCACCTGCCTCAGCCTCCCAAAGTTACTGGGATTACAGGCGTGAGCCACCACACCTGGCCAATATTTTTTAATTTTAATTTTTTGTTAGAGAGAAAGGATCTTGCTCTGTCACCCAGGCTGAACTTCAGTGGCTTGATCCTAGCTCACTGCGGTCTTGAAATCCTGGGCTCAAGGAATCCTCCCACCTCAGCACCCCCAGTAGCTGGGACTACAGCATGGCTGATTATTTTTTTGTAGAAATGAAGTCTCACTATGTTGACCAGGCTGGTCTCAAACTCCTGGGCTCAAGTGATCCACTCACCTTGGCCTCCCAAAATGCTGGGATTACAGGCATGAACCACCCCCGCTGGTCTTTTTTTTTTTTTTTTTTTTTGAGATCGAGTCTCACTCTGTTGCCCGGGCTGAGGAGCAGTAGCGCCATCCCAGCTCACTGCAGCCTCGACCTCCTGTGCTAAAGTGATCCTCCTGCCTTGACCTCCCAAAGCACTGGGACTACAGGTGTTAACATTTATTTTTAATTTTTTTATTTTTGAGACAGAGTTTCACTCTTGTGGCCCAAGCTGGAGTGCAATGGTATGATCTCAGCTCACCGCAACCTCCGCCTCCAGGGTTCAAGCAATTCTCCTGCCTCAGTCTCCCGAGTAGTTGGGATTACAGGCACTCGCCACCATGCCCAGCTAATTTTTTGTATTTTTAGTAGAAACGGGGTTTCACCATGTTGGCCAGGCTGGTCTCGAACTTCTGACCTCAGGTGATCCGCCCGCCTCAGCCTCCCAGAGTGCTGGGATTACAGGCGTGAGCCACCACGGCTGGCCAGGCATTAACATTTATATAAACTAAATACACAGGGTGAGTACAGACGGTTGGTAGGACAAGGAGGAGGATGGGATCAGAAAGGAGGCGGCGAGAGCACCCACCAGGGATGAGGACAAGGGACATGAATGCTGTGCACCAGGAGGGGACATTCTGCAGATGAAAACTCTGCAGGTCAGAAGGAGAGTTTAGGACGCCTGCTACAACCAAGCACTGGGTCCCCTTTCACTAATGTTGAGAAATGCAAGCAAGACTGAAGGTATTTTGGTTACTTATAGTGGACTCAAAACGACCACAGATTGTCTACAGTTCTCACCACCAGTAGGTGGAGCCTGTTTCCCCAGCTCAGGAATCTAGGCTCACCCTTGGGTCTTGCTCTGACAAACAAGATGATGCAGAAAAGACTTTGTGGGCCTCCAGAGCGTGGACCTCAGAGCCTTTATAGCCCCTCTCACCCCCTTATTTTTTTTTTTTTTCTGAGACAGAGTCTTGCTTGGTTGCCCAGGCCAGAGTGCAATAGCACGATCATGGCTCACTGCGGCCTTAACCTCCTGAGACCAAGCCGTCCCCGTACCTCCGCCTCCCGAGTAGCTGGGACTGGCAGCAGCACCAACCAGCAGGCATGCCGGCAAACCCCCAGCCCCCAGCCAGCCCTGGGATGACTGCAGCTTGGCCAGAGCACCCAGGCAAGGTCTGCAGAACCTTTTGAGCACAAGGCCTGTTATGCAGCAAAGAATTACTGGACGTTTGTATTATTCGCAAAGGATTACTAGTGACTAAATTGTACTCCTATGAATGTGACACTATGCAGCAACCAGGTGACTGGGGTGGGGTGGCTTTACATGAGCTATTCTTGCCATCTCATGTTATAATTGGTCCCCTAGTGGTCAAAGTTGAGGTGGGGGAGAGGTGGGGCGGGGACAGAACACAGGGAGAGGAGCTGCTGCATTTCAGCCCCCACCTCACTGTGCACACGACTTCTGTGAGCGTGTTCAGTCCTTACAACCTAAAGGAGCTGGCACTGAAGGCTTCCATTTACATAGAGGAGGGACACGAGGGTGCATGTGTCCTGAAGCTCCACCACCACCCTTGGATTCACACCCGAAGGTTAGAAAGGTGCTATCTGCCAGTGCTGGGCCTGGGGAAAGCCATTTAGGATCTGCTGCTTCTCTTTCAGATAAACTTTAGAACTGTCTTGTCAAATTCTCCCAAATACATTGTTGGGATTTGATAGGAGTTGCAAAAACAAAGCCTGTATGTGAAGCGTATATATTAAAAGGGAAGAATGGGCTGGGCACAGTGGCTCACACCTGTAATCCCAGCACTTTGGGAGGCCAAGGTGGGAGGACCACTTGATCCTAGGACTTCCAGACCAGCCAGGGCAACATAGCAAGACCCCTTTTTAAAAATAAAATATTAAAATAAAAATTTTAAAGGGAAGAATGGACACTCTCCATCATCAGGTATTGGTCCCAGGAACAGAGCATTCCCGTCCAATCCCACAAGTCTTGCCTCAGGCCTCCTACAAATGTGCTATTTCCAAATGGGCTTTTGGCACATTTATCAAGGCTATGCCTATGTCACTTGTTTCCCGTTACTATTATGAAAAGGCCTTTCTGAAAATTTCATTTGGAGGCCAGGCATGCTGGCTCATACCTGTAATCCCAGCACTTTGGGAGGTTGAGGTGAGTGCATCTCTTGAGCTCAGGAGTTCAAGACCAGTCTGGGCAACATGGCATAACCTCATCTCTCTCAAAAATACAAAAATTAGCTGGGTGTGGTGGTGTGCGCCTGTGGTCCCAGCTACTCAGGAGGCTGAGGTGGAGGATTGCGGGAGCCCGGGAAGCAGAGGCAGTGAGCCAAGAGCTACACTCCAGCCTGGGTGACAGAGCAACTGTCTAAAAGAAAAAAGGAGAAAATTGCATTTGGGATATACATATTACAGGTTAAATTGGGTCCCCCCGAATTCATATTGGAGTCCTAATTTTCAATACCTCAGAATGTGGCCTTAACTTGAAAACAGGGTCACTGCAGGTGTGATTAAGATGGGGTCTCAGCCGGGCGCGGTGGCTCATGCCTGTAATCCCAGCACTTTGGGAGGCCGAGGAGGGTGGATCACAAGGTCAGGAGATCAAGACCATCCTGGCTAACACAGTGAAACCCCGTCTCCACTAACAATACAAAAAATTAGCCGGGTGCAGTGGCGAGCGCCTGTAGTCCCAGCTCCTTGGGAGGTTGAGGCAGGGGAATGGCGTGAACCCAGGAGGCGGAGCTTGCAGTGAGCCAAGATCGTGCCACTGCACTCCCTCCTGGGCCACAGAGCAAGACTCTGTCTCAAAAAAAAAAAAAAAAAAAAGATGGGGTCTCATTGGAGCAGGGTGGGACCCCATCCAATATGACTGATGTCCTTATGAAGTGGGAACTTGGCCACAGATGACACGCACACAGGCCCTCGAGGAAAGCGCCATGTGAAGGATGGAGTTCCGCTCCAGAAGCCAAGGAGTCACCAGGGGCTACGCAAGGGGCCAGACTCAGAGCCTCGCCGAGAGCCTGCAGGCGAGCATGGTCTCCACTGCCTCCACTGTGAGATGTGAACACCTGTGCTGCAGTGGCCGCAGGGAGCCAGTCCCGAGGGTCACACCGTGATGTCTGTCTGCAAGGGCCCAGCTGCTCTTACTGAGGCCTTTCCAGCGCAGCCGCCTCTCCACATTAGAGAGGATCAGCCTGGGCACATGGCTTGTGGTAGAAGGCCCTGATCACACCACAAACGCAGAGAGCGGCTTGTGATGCTCAGGTTTTCATGGCCACGTGGCTTCAGCCTCAGCAAGGAGGGCACCGGGCCCACGTCCGAGGGTTTACCTGGGGATGATCACAGTGAGGTGGGTGGCTCAACAGGACCTCACGGCGCTGGCCTGGGAGTGGTGGGCTCTGCAGGCCAGAGCTGTCTAGACGGGCAGTTTGCCTCTGGAGTCTTACGTGTTCACTTCTTCCATAGCTCCGGCTCGTATCCTCTTCTCCCATGGTCTTGGAGCGTCCCCACCATATCCTGTTGGGGAGGCATCATGACCCTTTTCTTTTTGAGACAGGGTCTGGCTCTGTCACCCAGGCTGGAGTGCGGTCACACAATCATAGCTCACTGCAGCCTCCACCACCTGGACTCAAGCGATCCTCCTACTTCAGCCTCCCACATAGCTGGGACTACAGGTGTAGCCACACCCGCTAATTTTTTTTTTTCTTTTTGGATAATCTTACTCTGTTGCCCAGGCTGGAGTGCAGTGGCACGATCTTGGCTCACTGCAACCTCTGCCTTCCGGTTCAAGCAATTCTCATGCCTCAGCCCCCAAAGCAGCTGGGATTACAGGCACATGCCACCATACCCAGCTAATTTTTTTTGAGACGGAGTTTCGCTCTTGTTGCCCAGGCTGGAGTGCAATGGCGTGATCTCGGTTCACTGCAACCTCTACCTCCTGGGTTCAAGCAATTCTCCTGTCTCAGCCTCCCGAGTACCCAGTATTACAGGCACCCGCCACCACCCAGCTAATTTTTGTATTTTTTAGTAGAGATAGGGTTTCACCATGTTGGCCAGGCTGGTCTTGAACTCTTGACCTCAGGTAATCCACCCGCCTTGGCCTCCCAAAGTGCTGGGATTACAGGCGTGAGCCACTGCACCTGGCCAATTTTTTTTTTTTTTTTTTTTTTTTTTTTGTATTTTTAGTAGAGACGAGGATTCGCCATGTTGCCCAGGCTGGCCTTGAACTCCTGAGCTCAGGCAATCCACCTGCCTCCCAGAGTGCTAGGATTACAGGCGTGAGCCACAGTGCCCAGCCTCAATCACACCCAGCTAATTAAAAAAAAAATATTTAGGCCGGCGCGGTGGCTCACGCCTGTAATCCCAGCACTTTGGAAGGCCAAGGCGGGCGGATCACGGGGTCAGTAGATCGAGACCAAAACTTTTAGTAGAGACATGGTTGCACTGTGTTGCCTAGGCTGGTCTCAGACTCCAGGGCTCAAGCAATTCACCTGTCTCAGCCTCCCAGAGTGCTGGGATTACAGGTGTGAGCCACTGTGCCTGGCTGTAAGAAACTATCTGATGAAAAGGACCAGGTGGCTTTAAGCAATGGTAACAAAATGTTAACTTAAATAATAAAATCTGGGCCAGGTGTGGTGACTCACCCCTGAAATCCCCACATTTTGGGAGGCTGAGGCAGGCAGATCGCTTGAGCCCAGGAGTTTCAGACCAGCCTGAGCAACATGGCAAAACTTCATCTCTACAAAAAATAAAAAAATAAAAACATAAAAAGCTGGGCATGGTGGTGTGTGCCTGTGGTCCCAGCTACTAGGGAGGCTAAAGTGGGAGGATTACTTAGCCCAGGAAGCCAAGGCTGCAGTGAGCCGTGAACATACCACTGTACTCTAGCCTGGGTGATACAGTGAGACCCTGTCTCAAAAATAAAAATAAAAATAAAATCTGGTTGGGCATGGTTGCTCACAACTGTAATCCCAACACTTTGGGAGTCTGAGGTGGGAGGACTGCTTGAACCCAAGAGTTCAAGACCAGCCTAGGCAATATAGTGAGACCTCTACAAAAAAAAAAAAAAAAAATTTAAATTAGCCAGGTGTGGTGCGGCATTCCTATAGTCCCAGCTACTCAAGAGGTTGAGGCAGGAAGATTGCTTGAGCCCAGGAGTGTGAGGCTGAAGTGAGCCGTGATCGTGCCACTGCACTCCAGCCTGGGCAATGAATCATGACCGTGTCTTAAAAAGAAATAGGGGCTGGATGCGGTGGCTCACTCCTGTAATCCCAGCACTTTGGGAGGCCGAGGTGGGTGGATCCCGAGGTCAGGAGTTCAAGACCAGCCTGGCCAACACAGTGAAACCCTGTCTCTATTAAAAATACAAAAATTAGCCAGGCGTGGTGGTGGGCGCCTATAGTCCCAGCTACTTGGGAGGCCGAGGCAGGAGAATCGCTTGAACCCAGGAGGCAGAGGTTGTAGTGAGCCGGGATCGTGCCACTGCACTCCAGCCTGGGCAACAGGTTTTCCTACCTTGTGGGGAGGTGAGAGGTCAGGGTGAGTGCTGGGTTTGAGGCTCAGCTGTGCTGTGTGAAGATTGAGAGGAGCCCACCTCATCACATGGACAGAACGCACAGGCTTCTTCTCTTTCTCCCACCCAGGCCATCATCTCTTGCCTGGTTGATACCCACAGCCTCCCCTTTGGGCTTTATCCTTATCCCCGTCATAGCTGCCAGAGGGACCCTGTGAAAACACTCCCCAGCCTGCTCATTCCTCTGTCCTAAGCCTGCATGGCACAGAGCAAAAGCCAGTTGTTATGGGACCTAGGAGGTCTTGTGGGATGGGCCCCAGCCTGCATCTTCATCCTCTTCTCCCCACCCTACTCCATTCACTCTCTGCCTATCGCTCACCAGCCTATGCCACCTGCCTCAGGGCCTTTGCACTGACCATTTAGGCCACTTTCCAGGCTCTTTTCACACGTTGCCTCCTCTGAGAAGCCCTCCCTGACCACTCTGCCCATACCTCATGCCTCTTGATTCCCCTTACCTGGCCTGTGGTTTCAGCACTTTCCCTGTGTGTGTTTGTTTTTCTTGGCATGAGGGCAGGACCTAAGTGTCTGTTCCCTGTTGATTCCCCAGTGCCAGGCATGCAGTGCAAATTGTAGAAATATTTTTTGCATGAAAGAATGAGTGATTGAATGCGGCAAGGGTCTGGAGGCTGAGGACCAGGCAGACAGACATTCAGAGTTGCTGGAACGCGACAGAGACAGGGAGTCAGACTGGTCATGCAAGGTCTTGGGCCTGCCCTTGGGTCCTGGGGAGCCACGGAAGGTTGTGGGTGCCAGAGGGTTGCGGTCAGAGTCACAGTCAAGGGCCTTCTGAGACCTGTGCCCCCTCCCCACCCTCCCTCCCCACCTCCTCAGGCCAGCTCTGGGGTCTCAGCAGGTGGTCCGCAACATGACCTCTGAGTTCTTCGCTGCCCAGCTCCGGTCCCAGATCTCTGACCACACCACTCACCCGATCTCCTACTACAAGCCCGAGTTCTACACGCCGGATGACGGGGGCACTGCTCACCTGTCTGTCGTCGCAGAGGACGGCAGTGCTGTGTCCGCCACCAGCACCATCAACCTCTAGTAGGGGCTGCTGGGCCGCCTGGGTGGGAAAGGGCCAGGGGCGGGTGGCCCAGGGACTGCCCACTTATCCAGTAAGGTGGCTCCATCACCTCTTTTCCTGGTGGGAAACTGAGGCCCAACCTTGGTAGCTTATCCTGGGCCTCTCAGTGAGTATGTTTGAGCCTCAGTGGGTGGATAGGGACCAGGCTGGGCCAGGCAAGGTCGGGTGCTGTCTGACCTGGCTGGGCGGTAGCTTTGGCTCCAAGGTCTGCTCCCCGGTCAGTGGGATCCTGTTCAATAATGAATGGACGACTTCAGCTCTCCCAGCATTCACCAATGAGTTTGGGGCACCCCCCTCACCTGCCAATTTCATCCAGCCAGGTATGGGGTGGAGGTCTGGGGGGTGGGGGACTGGGGTGGAGAGGGGCGGGTGTCCTGGGCAGGCAGCTGACGGGCATCCCTGTCTTCTCCCATCGGCCGCAGGGAAGCAGCCGCTCTTGTCCATGTGCCCGACGATCATGGTGGGCCAGGACGGCCAGGTCCGGATGGTGGTGGGAGCTGCTGGGGGCACGCAGATCACCACAGACACTGCACTGGTATGTGTCACCCCTTTTCTCCCTGGCCCTGCCCACTCTGCACAGCCCCCAAGCCACGCTGATCACACTCCCATGCCCCAGGCCATCATCTACAACCTCTGGTTCGGCTATGACGTGAAGAGGGCCGTGGAGGAGCCCCGGCTGCACAACAAGCTTCTGCCCAACGTCACGACAGTGGAGAGAAACATTGACCAGGTGGGCCAGGGGTTGGAGAAACTGAGTCACGGTGTGGGGTCCCAGGGCATCCTGGGCTGGAGGCCTGGATCATCACAGAGTGGACAATGGTTGGTGTCCTCTCTCTAGTGCCTGGGCCATCTGGAGCCCCTGTGACATGAGAGCCAAGCCCCCTGCTCCAGTGAGACCCAGCAGGCCCCAACCTGCTCTTCCTGATGACCTGGCCTGAAATGGCACCACCTGGGCTGAGGCCTGTGACCACACAGGTGTGGTTCAGGTGGCATCTGGAGCCCTGCTCAGGCTTCCCCTCTCCTCCCACCCCCAGGCAGTGACTGCAGCCCTGGAGACCCGGCACCATCACACCCAGATCGCATCCACCTTCATCGCTGTGGTGCAAGCCATCGTCCGCACGGCTGGTGGCTGGGCAGCTGCCTCGGACTCCAGGAAAGGCGGGGAACCTGCTGGCTACTGATTGCTCCAGGCAGACAAGGCTGACAAGCAATCCAGGGACAAGATACTCACCAGGATGAGGAAGAGGACTTTGGGGGACGGGCTTCCCCTGTGAGCAGCAGAGCAGCATAATAAATGAGGCCACTGTGCCAGGCTCCAGGTGGCCTCCCTGGCCTGTCTCCCCACTCTCTGGGCCTCAGTGTATTGTGTGTGAAATGGAGCCATCTGGCTGGGGAGGAACAGAGAGGTGGGATTCGGAGATCTTCACAATGCGGGCACTGGAACTAGCCTCAGCATCTTCAGCATGGGGAGAGCAAGGCACATGGCTGGGGGCCAGGGGAAGGTTCACACCAAACCCTGCCCCTTCCCACCCTGATCCCTCAGACTTTGGGGCCAGGCCCTCCCTTACTGGGGCTGGGCAGTGACACTACCTAGGATCAGCCACCAGGGGGTGTCACGACCCTGGCGCTTTCTTAGGCAGAGGGTGGCCAGCCGATGCTGGGAACCCGGGCGCCTTCTCAGACCCGTAGGCGTCCAGCTCACCCTGCCGATGACACTGGAGGTGAAGCTGAGGGTCCGAGGAATGGGGACTGGGCAACAGGCTGGAGGAAAACATCTCGGTCAGAGCCATGCCCCTGGGGGGTTCCCAAGAGCAAGCCCAGAGTGAAACCCAAGCTTGTGATCCTCTCCACAGGGAGGCCTGGTTCTCAGGGAACAGCAAACGGGAAGATGTCCCCAGATCCCAGGGATCAGGGCTTGGACCAGCCGGGGACGCAGCCCAGAGGGAGTGGGTCCGGAAGGAAACAGCTCGACACAGCAGCCTTCACCATTGGCAGCCCCTCCAGGCCTCCCTCGGGGCCTGCTCCCTCCTCTGTGCACAGTTCCAACACCTGGAGCAGGGTTCTGGGAAGGGCTGGTGGAGGTGGGCTGGTGGGAGGCGGTGATCACAGCCCAGCACCTGGATATCACCAGGGGCACTGGGGCCAGGGGCCAGGTGAGGCCAGGTCGGGGCTATCCTTCAGGAGCCCCGAAAACCTGGTGATTCCAAAGGGCCCATAGACAAACAGGGTTTTATGCCTGTGGAGTCAAGTCCCACTGGGTCTGAGCTCTGGAGGGCTGTGTCTCTGGGGCTCTGCAAGGGTGAGATGGAGGTGGGCTCAACTGGTGTACAAGTCACTCTTCAATCCTTATTTTATTTATTTAATTTTTTTAAAAAAAATTTAAACCAATAGAGATGGGGTCTCACTATGTTGACCAGGCTGGTCTTAACTCCTGACTTCAAGCAGTCCCCCCATCTCAGTCTCCCAAAGTGCTAGGATTACAGGGGTAGCCACTGCACCCGGCCTCAATCCTTATATTGGCCTGAGAGGAAAGGCCGTGGCCCCATTTGCAGGGGAGAAGACTGAAGCTGGAGGGGCAGGCCTTGCTCTGGGTTGCACAGCAGGAAGAGAAGTGGGAGCTGGCCACGAGGCTTCCTGGACCCGACATGCTGGTGGGGTACACCCTGGTTCTCTAGGTCCCATGGGGCTCAGCCCAGGACTACCTCGGGGGGTGAGGGACTTAAATCGTCTCCTTCATTCTCATCGCCCCTTCCCCCATCATTTCCTGAGGAAGGACATTCAGGGACCTGAAGGGGTGGCCTGCCCCTCCACACCTGTGGGTGTTTCTCATCAGCTGGGACAAGAGACTGAGAAAAGAAAGAGACACAGAGACAAAGTATAGAGAAAGAAAAGTGGGCCCAGGGGACCTGCACTCAGCATATGGAGGCCCCACGCTGGCACCAGTCTCTGAGTTCCCTAGTATTTATTGATCATTATCTCTACCATCTCAGAGAGGGGGATGTGGCAGGACAATAGGGTAATAGTGGGGAGAGGGTCAGCAGGAAAACACGTGAACAAATGTCTCTGTGTCATAAACAAGGTTAAGAAAAAGGTGCTGTGCTTTGATGTGCATATACATAAACATCTCAATGCATTAAAGAGCAGTATTGCCACCAGCATGTCCCACCTCCAGCCCTAAGGCAGTTTTCTCCTATCTCAGCAGATGGAATATACAATCAACACTGAGACATTCCTTTGCCCAGGGACGATCAGGAGAGAGATGCCTTCCTCTTATCTCAACTGCAAAGAGGCCTTCCTCTTTTACTAATCCTCCTCAGCACAGACCCTTTACAGGTGTCGGGCTGGGGGACGGTCAGGTCTTTCCCTTCCCACGAGGCCATATTTCAGACTGTCACCTGGGGAGAAACCTTGGACAATACCTGGCTTTCCTAGGCAGAGGTCCCTGCGGCCTTCTGCAGTGTTTTGTGTCCCTGCTTACTTGAGATTAGGGAGTGGTGATGACTCTTAACAAGCATGCTGCCTTCAAGCATTTGTTTAACAAAGCACATCCTGCACAGCCCTGAATCCATTAAACCTTGAGTCGACACAGTACATGTTTCTGTGAGCACAGGGTTGGGGCTAGGGTTACAGATTAACGGCATCTCAAGGCAAAAGAATTTTTCTTACTACACAGCAAAATGGAGCCTCTTACGTCTACTTCTTTCTACATAGACACAGTAACAGTCTGATATCTCTTTCTTTTCCCCACAGGGACCTTCCTGGCTGTGCCTCGGGTCAGGACCAGAATGACACCCATTCATTTCCCTGGGCCTTTGCTCCGGTGGTCCCTGCACCCTGGCCTCTGCCTGACGAGGATGGTGGGGAGAGGAGGGGGACGTCCCCCACACTGCTGTCTCCACTGTTCCTGCTGCCCAGGCCTCTGGGCTTCCAGGACTGCAGCGGGTGGGTGGGTGGGCTGGCCGGAGCCCAGGAATGCACTTCAGCTCCTGGTTGAGCAATGTCACTGAGGCTTGGGAGTCGGGTGGGGGCGGGAGGAGGCGTCCACAGGCCCCCCTACCGTGAGAGGCAGCCGTGGGAACAGCCTACCTCTAAACAATCACTGCAGCCCAGGCTGACCAGGGGCTCTGGCCGGACATAGGGGCCTGGCAGGCTGTGTGCCCTGTAAGGACACAGTCTGTCTCTGTGCCTCAGTTTCTCTGCTGCCCAGATGGAGGGGCCCAGACTCCAGGTGTACACATCTGGAGCAGGCAGTGTTCAGTTGGGGAGGAAGCGGGGAGGACTGTGGGGGCCATGTGGGAAGGATTCCACCCCACATCACCTGCACCCCTGCTGAGCCTGGTCAACGGAGCCCCTCAGTGGGTCCTCACTCCCCTGGTTGCCTCCCATTTAGGCACCCTGAGGCCTGGGGAGAACAGAGCCAGGCCAGTGTCCCCAGAGAGGCTGCGCTGCCAGCACAGTAGTAGCGGATTTGGATTCAGGGAAGCAGACCTGCAGCCAGGGTGGGAAAGAGCTGCAGGTGGGGTGGGGCCCCCACATGGCACAGCCCCCCTCCCTGGAGGACCATGCTGCATTTCCAGGACAGCAAGTCCCAGGGATGGATGGTGCCTGGTGCCAAGGGCTAGAGGCATGGTCTGTCTGCATTTCCCACGTAAGTGTCTCGTAGTCACCAGAATTTGATGCTGTCAAGACCCCCTGTCCTCTGTGCAGACTGGAAAGCCCTTGGTCACCCTGGGGGAGTTGGGGGACCCAGGCCAGGCTGCAGAAGCATAAGGACTTGAACCCGGGTCCTGAGTGACACCACCTTGGGTCCTCCTCCTTCTGCCTCTGTTCAGCTCCACCTTGATGCTGACTAGGCTGGGCCATGCGGAGAGGGTTAGGGGATAGAGATGGGAGCTGGGGAGCAGGGCTCCACTCTGGGAGGGGGGCAGCCTTGCCGGATCCAGGGCAGAGTTAAGCGGCCCCAGCTCTGCTTTCCCAGAGCTGCTGAGAACCTGGGGAATGGTGTGGAGGTTCCAGGGAGCCCTGCCCCTACCTGGCAACCGCAGTGCAGCACGCACCAAGTTCTCCTGCACATTGCGACAGTGTGACCATGGGCTCTGGCGGGCGGTAGGTGGGGCCTTTGGACCTACCAGCAGTGAGGGAGTTAACACAGCAGCTGACTTCTCTAGGCAAAGAAAACTCCCCTCAGACGCTTTGCTGCCTGGCCTCCTGCCAGGAACAAGCAGGAGCTGAAAACTAGAAGTTGAGGCATGAGTTTGGCCACTCCGTAGTGTGCACTTGGTGAGGGCAGCAGCTCGCCACAGCTGCCAGCCATCTGTCCATTCACCCATCTGTCCATCTGGCAGCCCGCTGTTCAGACCTGTCTGTCTGTCCGCCCATCTGTAAGCCCATCTCTGTCCCATTGTCTATCTGACCATCTTTCTCTTACTGTCCTCTTTGTCTAGCTATCTGGCCTGTCTGTCGATCCATCTTCGTGTCTGTCTTCAGCCCCCACCTGTTTGTCCATCTGTCCAATTACCTGTGAGTCTATCTATGCATCTTCTTGTCCATTCATCTGCCCACCCATCTGTCCCTCCATCTGCCCACCGGCCTCCCCTCTCCTTCTGGGCCGCAGAGCCATGGCCCAGGACTACGGAGCCATGGGTGACCTGGTCCTGCTGGGGCTGGGGCTGGGGCTGGCGCTGGCTGTCATTGTGCTGGCTGTGGTCCTCTCTCGACACCAGGCCCCATTTGACCCCCGGCCTTTGCCCACGCCGCTGTTGCTGCTGACTCCAAGGTCTTCTCAAATATTGTACGGTGAGTGAGACGTGGGAGGAAGCTGGGTGGCCTTTGGCAGCCAGCCCCTCCTGGAGAAGGCGTGTGTGTGTGAGCATGTGTGTGTGTGAGAGATTATGTGTCAGTGTGTGTGGGTATATGTGTGAGTGTGTTTGTGGGGTGTGGGTGTGTGTGAATGTGTGTGATCGTGTTTGGGTGTGTGTATGTGTGAGTGTGGGTGTGTGTGAATGTGTGTGATTGTGTTTGTGTATGTGTGTGTGGGTGTGTGTGAGTATATGTGAGTGTGAGTGTGTGGGGTGTGGGTGGGTGTGAATGTGTGTGATTGTGTTTCGCTGTGTGAGGGTGTGTGTGACTGTGAGTGTGTGAGTGTGGGTGTGTGGGTGTGTGTAAATGTGTGTGTGAGTATGGGGGGTGGGTATGTGTGAATGTGTGTGATTGTGTGTGGGTATATTTGTGGGTGTGTGTGTGTGTGTGCACGTGTGTGTGTGTGCACGTGCACTGGCCCAGGAAGCAGGAGCCGTGTGTGTGGGCTTCAGCACCTGCAGGTCTTGGGCGCAAGGAGACAGCCTCAGGGCCCTTGCACAGAACAGGCGGCAGGGTGTGCCCGTGGGGCAGATGGGGACTTGGGGACAATGGTGGTGTGTGAGTCCATACCTGGCTCCAGGATTCAGGAGGCCCATTTGCATATCCCAGGTGGGAACCTGTCTGGCCCCGCCTGACCCTGCTGGCCGGTGCAGGCCCCTTCAGTGAGGCCAATTCTCCAAGGCTGCGGTCTTCTCCCAGGGTCATGGGTGAAGGGGTTTGGAGGCTCCCTGCGTGGGTACTGGCCTGCTGGGGTACACACAATGCTGCCATAGCCAGTCTGCCCCTACACCCAGCCCGGGGCCACATCCCAGGTCTCTCAGTCCTGAGGAGCCCGGTGCCCCACCCCTCACATCCTCTCTCCCTGAGTCAGGGCCTGGGTCTCGTGAGCTGAGTGACTGATACTTGGTGTCCTGGATGAGGGCGTGGTGGAGAGGGGCCACAGCGGGTGTTTCCTGACCCTCTTCCAGGAAGGTGCTGCTGCCACTGCAGGGAGGACACACACAGGATGCCCCTTCTTGCCCCCTGCCTCCCATTGGGCCCACAAAAGCCAGGGCAAGCCTCCCCTCCCTGCCAGCCACCTGGTCTGCTTCCCAGAAATTCTGTCTTGCAGGCTGTTGGGAGGATCCCAGTACTTTGTAAACTAAAGCAAGGGAGGAGTGGCCGTTCTCTCTCTTTGTTCATTCATTCACCTTTTCATTCATTCCTTCTTCCCTCCATTCCCCCATCGGTCCATCCTTCCCTGCCCTGATTGCTCATGCCACCCCCCCAGCCCCTCCTGACCTGGTCCTTTGGTTTCTCTTCAGGGCTTTCTGTCTCCTCCCACAGGGCTGAGAATGGCAGCTCAGGGACAAGTGGGGGCTGGGGACTGCTTAGTCTCCCCAGTGGCTCTCAGGGGATTTGAGGGTTTGACGCCAGCTGCCACCCCAGGCTGTGCCCCTCCTCTGCTCGGGAGGACATACAGAGATGCGACACCCACTTAAACTCGAAGTTGCAAAGATGCAAATGAGACTGGGGTCTCAGGCACCAGAGACCACCCGTGGGCACGTGGCTTTTGGGAGTGGGGACCTGCTGCCACAGATCTCTGAAGAGTCTGGACCTGCTGGGTCTCCCCGAGTGACTGTCTGGGGGTCTCCATAGCATGCCCTGCTGTGTGCGTGACGGTCACTGGTTGGGTAGGGGTCTCTACTCTAAAGCTCCCTCTGCCGGCATCCCCTCGAACTCTCCCTTGGTGAAGAGAGGATGTGGTTTGCCCCAGTGTTTTATCAAACAACTCTCTCCACTTCCAGTTTTAAGAAGCTGGGAGTGGAAGAGAGCCTGGGGCTGGCCCCAGCTGCTGCTGTGAAACAGGGGTCACTGGACGCTGGGACCCTGGCCGGGCTGGCTGGAGGCCTCAGGAAGAGGCCTGCTACAGCGTCATCCTGGCCAAGATTCCTCCCTGCAGAGGACCCTGGCCACGCTGCCACAGGGTCTGCTGGGGCCACCAGAAGCCCATGCTCCTGCCTCCATCTCTCCCCTCTGTGCTCACCTCTCACCAGGAGGCCCTCCCAGAGTTCAGTGTCCTGCTTTTTTTTTTTTTTTTTTTTTTTGGGACGGTGTCTCACTCTGTCACCAGGCTGGAGTGCAGTGGCGCGATCTCAGCTTACTGCAACCTCTGCTTCCTCGGTTCAAATGATTCTCCTGCCTCAGCCTCCTGAGTAGCTGGGACTACAGGTGCCAGCCACCACGCCCCGCTAATTTCTGTATTTTTAGTAGAGACGGGGTTTCACCGTGTTGGCCAGGATGGTCTCTATCTCTTGATTCACCCGCCTTGGCCACCCAAAGTGCTGGCATTACAGGAGTGAGTCATGGCACCCGGCCTCATCTCCTACTCTTTCAGCACCAGGTTTTATTCTTGGGATTCTGCTACAGCCGGAGCCCCTGGGTGCGAGTTCCTAAGGTTTCTGTGAGTGTGGACCCAGCACCGTGCCTAGTAGACATACAAAAGGAGCATGGTGACAGTGAGGTCTGTCATCTCCAGCATAATGACTGTTTTGATCCTTGTAAAAAAGGTGATTTTTGGCTGGGTGTGGTGGCTCACACCTGTAATCCCAGCACTTTGGGAGGCCAAGGGGGGTGGCTCACTTGAGGTCAGGAGTTGGAGACCAGCCTGGGCAACATGGTGAAACCATGTCTCTACTAAAAATACAAAAATTAGCTGGGCATGGTAGCAGGTGCCTGTAATCCCAGATACTTGGGAGGCTGAGACAGGAGAATCACTTGAACGCAGGAGGCAAAGGTTGCAGTAAGCCAAGATTGCACCACTGCACTCCAGCCTGGGTGACAGAGCAAGACTTGGTCTCAAAAAAAAAAAAAAAAAAAGAAAGAAAAGTTTATATTTTTGTTCTAATGGTTATCTTAATATCGTCATTCTATAATTATATGTTTTATATAATTATAATAGCTATATAAGATATAATACCCCTAGTATGTTGTTTTTTGGATATTCTACTTGCTCCTGATGGTTAATTTATGTGTCAACTTGGCTAAGCTATGGTGTCCTGTTGTTTGGTCAAATACTTGTCAATATCTTGCTGGGAGGTTATTTCATAGATGTGATTAACACTGACAGTCAATTGACTTTAAGTAAAACAGATTACCCACCATAATATGGGTGGGCCACCTCCAATCAGTTGAAGGCCTTAAGAACAAAAACTGAGGTTTCCCAGAGAAGCAGGAATTCTGCTTCAAGACTGTAACACACAAACCCTGCCTGAGTTTCTGGCCTGCTGACTGCTCTACAGATTTTAGGTTCCAGACTTCGAGATCAACTCTTACCTGAATTTATAGCCTGCTGGCTTGCCCTACAGATTTTAAAACTTGCTAGTCCCCACAATCATGTGAGCCAATTCCTAAATAAGTCTCTCTCTATGTATAATCTATTGGTTTAGTTTCTCTGAAAAACTTTCACATCCAGTTTCCTGGATGTTAAGAATTACCGAAACTAGCTAGTAACTTCTTTTTTTTTTTTGAGACAGAGTTTTGCTCTTGTTGCCCAGGCTGGAATGCAATGGCACAATCTCAGCTCACCGCAACCTCCACTTCCTGGGTCCAAGCAATTCTCCTCCCTCAGCCTCCTGAGTAGCTGGGATTACAGGCATGTGCCACCATGCTTGGCTAATTTTTGTATTTTTAGTAGAGACAGGGCTTCTCCATGTTGGTCAGGCTGGTCTTGAACTCCCAACCTCAGGTGATCCGCCGCCTTGGCCTCACAAAGTGCTGGAATTACAGGCACGAGCCATTGCGCCTGGCTCCTAGTAAATTCTTCTTTTCTGTGATGTGTCCCTTACCTCTAATAATACTTTTCTTCTTAAAGTCTACTTCATTAAAAATAGTTATGCTGGGCATGGTGGCTCATGGCTGTAATCTTGGCACTTTGCTGGAGGTCGAGGTGGGTGGATCACTGAAGCCCAGGAGTTCAAGACCAACCTGGGCAACATGGCGAGACCCTGCCTCTACAAAAAATACAAAAATTAGCTGGGTGTGGCTAATATAATTCTAAGTTGGCACACTTGTAGTCCCAGCTACTTGGGATGCTGAGGTGGGAGAATCGCTTGAGCCTAGAAGGGAGAGATTGCTGTAAGCCAAGATCACATCACTGCACTCCAGCCTGGGAGACAGAGTGAGGCTCTATCTCCAAAAAAAAAAAAAAAAAAAAAAAAAAAGTTATACAGCTTTCTTGGTTAGTACATGCATGACATATTTTTCATGATCTTCCACCTCTCTGTACCCTTATATAAAAGGCATTAGTTGGGTTTTACTTTATTTTCAATTATTTTAATTTTTATTGTCCTTTTAAATGTAACTAATGATTTATTTGGGTTGAAACCCACCACCAATTTGTTTTCCATGCCTATTCTATTTCTTCTTATCTCCTCTCACATCTTGTTTTGGATTTATTAGTTTTATTATTTAATTTCCTCCTTCTCTATTAGTTTCATAACTGTGCAGTCTTAGAGTTATTTTAAAAGATGACTGGATTATTTTAGAGCTTACAACATGCATCCTTCCCTTATCAAAGTCTAACATGAGCTAGTACTTTTTGTTGTGGTTGAGATAGAGAGAGTCTTCCTCTGCTGCCCAGGCTGGAGTGCAGTGGAGCAATCTTGGTTCACTGCAACCTCCACTTCTTGGGTTCAAGCAATTCTCCTGCCTCAGTCACCTGAGTAGCTGGGACCACAGGTGTGCACCACTATGCCCGGCCAATTTTTGTATTCTTTTTCAGTAGAGACAGGGTTTCACCATGTTGGCCAGGCTGGTCTTGAACTCCGGACCTTAAGAGATCTGCCTACCTCGGCATCCTAAAGTGTTGGGATTACAGGCGTGAGCCACCGCGCCCAGCCTATGAGTTAGTACTTCTATCCTCTTCCTAGTCAGTACAAGAACCTTGGAACAGGAACTAAATTTACCCCCAGTGACTTATATGCTAATATTTTTGTGTATTTTAAATATGTGTGTGTGCATAGATGTATCTGTGTGTTTTTTGTGTTTTTATTCTTATTTATGTTGAGAGTGTAGAGCTATGTAAGAGTAAAGAGAATTGTGTAATGAAGCCCAGAGTATCCATTCAATTTCAACAACAATCTTATGGCCAAGCTCATTTCATGTATACTCTTTCCTGCTTCCCTCTACCCCACATTATTTCAGTGCAAATCCCAGATATATAACTGTACCCATACATATTTCAGTATGTTTTATTTATTTTAAACCCCACAAGATATCATTTTCTATACTACTGTAATTTTATACCAATAACATTCATTTAGATTTACCCACACGTTTACCCTACCCTCCGGGTCCTGTTTGAAAATCAAGCCCATGCTCACAGGCCAATTTTTTTTTCTTTTAGAGACAGGGTCTCACTTTGTCACCCAAGCTGGAGTGCAGTGGTGCGATTATAGCTCAATGCAGCCTCCAATTCCTGGACTCAAGGGACCCTCCTGCCTCAGCCTGCCAAGTAGCTTGGACTATAGCTGTGTGTTTTATTATTATTTTGTAGACATGGGGTCTGGCTATGTTGTCCAGGCTATTCTCAAAATTCCCGGCCTCGAGCAATCCTCCTGCCTCGGCCTCTCAAAGGTTGGGATTACAGGTGTGAGGCAAGGCACCCAGCTCAGCCACAGAGCCCTGTTGCATCTCTCTTACTAGGAGCAAGAGCTGACTGCCCCCTCATCCCCATTCCAGAGTGTTGGGGCTGTGTTCAGCCGAGGCCGGGCCACTGGCATGGCCCAGGGAGCGGGATCATTCACTGCTGCCCCAAATCTGAGATCATTCCACCTTGACAAGACTTCCTCATCCAATCTCTTTACTTGACAGCTGGGGAAACCAATGCGCACAGAGCACCCCCAGCTCACTCGGGGTCTCAGAGCTGATCCATGAGCAGAGGCTGAGATCCTGGGATCTTGTCCCCCAGCCTCCCTGCAAGCTTACTCCCTTTCTGCTGGAAGAGATGGGGCCGGACCTCGACCAGCAGCCCTGGCCTGGACATGACTGTGCTCACCCAGGTATTGAGGCCGAGATGCCCTGGCATCATATGTTTTTCTCTCTTTTTTTCTTTTTTTTTGAGACAGTATCTCACTCTGTCACCCAAGCTGGAGTGCAGTGGCATGATATTGGCTCACTGCAACCTCTGCCTCCCGCTTAAAGTGATTCTCCTGCCTCAGTCTTCCAAGTAGCTGGGCCTACAGGCTTGTACCACCACACCTGACTAATTTTTGTATTTTTACTAGAGACGGGGTTTCCCCATGTTGGCCAGGCTCATGTCGAACTCCTGACCTCAGGTGATCCACCTGCCTTGGCCTCCCAAAGTGCTAGGATTACAGGCATGAGCCATGGCGTCACTTAAATGTAGTGAGAGGCCGGGCAAGGGGCTCATGCCTGTAATCCCAGTGCTTTGAGAGGACGAGGCTGTCAGATCACCTAAGGTCAGGAGTTCGAGACCAGCCTGGCCAACATGGTGAAACTGTGTCTCTACAAAAAAAATAGAAAAAAAAATCCCTGCGTGGTGGCAAGTATCTGTAGTCCCAGTTACTCAGGAGGCTGAGGCATGAGAATTGCTTAAACCTCGGAGGCGGAGGCTGCAGTGAGCTGAGATGGCGCCACTGCACTCCAGCCTGGGTGACAGAGCAAGACTTTGTCTCTAAATAATTAAATAAATAAATATGGCCGAGCATGGTGCCTTAGGCCTGTAATCCCAACACTTTGGGAGGCTGAGGCAGGTGGTTCATGAGGTCAGGAGCCCGAGACCAGCCTGGCCAAGATGGTGAAACACTGTCTCTACTAAAAATACAAAAATTAGCCAGCTGTGGTGGCAGGCACCTGTAATCCCAGCTACTTGGGACACTGAGGCAGGAGAATCGCTTGAACCTGGAAGGCAGAGGTTGCAATGAGCCGAGATTGCACCGCTGCACTCTAGCCTGGGCGATGGAGCAAGACTCCATCTCAAATAAATAAATTAATAAATACAGAGCAAGATTCCATCTCAAATAAATAAATAAATGTACACCTGTAATCCTAGCACTTTGGGAGGCTAAGACAGGTCGATCACCTGACGTCAGGAGTTCGAGACCAGCTTGACCAATATGGCAAAACTCCATCTCTACTAAAAATACAAAAATTAGCCGGGCGTTTTGACGTGTGCCTGTAGTCCCAGCTACTTGGGAGGCTGAGACAAGAGAATTGCTTGAACCCAAGAGGTGGAGGTTGCAGTGAGCCGAGATCTCGGCTGCACTTCAGCCTGGGTGACAGAGTGAGACTCTGTCTCAAAAGGAATAAATAAAATACAAAGTAAAAAAAAATGTAGTAAGATTGCAGAGTCGTGCCGCAGAAGCGTGCTGGTCCTATCCATGTAGTGAAGGCTGATTTCATACACAAATGTCACAAGAACTTTTCTTTTCTTTTTCTTTTTTTTTTTTTTTTTTGAGACGGAGTCTCGCTCTGTCACCCAGGCTGGAGGGCAGTGGTGCTATCTAGGCTCACTGCAAGCTCTGCCTCCCGGGTTTATGCCATTCTCCTGCCTCAGCCTCCTGAGTAGCTGGGACTACAGGCGCCTGCCACCTAGCCCAGCTAATTTTTTTGTACTTTTAGAGGAGATGGGGTTTCACCGCGTTAGCCAGGATAGTCTCAATCTCCTGACCTCGTGATCCGCCCGTCTCGGCCTCCCAAAGTGCTGGGATTACAGGCATGAGCCACCACACCCGGCCTTCTTATATGCTTTTATTGCATTTGAGTGTACCTCTTTTACAGCGAAGATCTTTTTTTTTTAATTTTATTTTATTTTTAGAGATGGAGTCTTGCTTTGTTGCCCAGGCTGGAGCACTGTGGTGTGATCATAGCTCACTGCAGCCTTGAACTCCCGGGCACAGGTGATCCTCCCACCTCAGCTTCCTGAATAGCTGGGACTACAGGCATGCACCACCATGCCTGGCATATTTTAAAGATGTTTGTAGAGATGAGGTCTCGCTATGTTGCCAGGCTTGTCTCAAACTACTGGGCTCAAGCCATCCATCCATTTCAGCCTCCCAAAGTGCTTGGATTATAGGCATGAGCACTGCGCCTGGCCATCACACTGTTTTTTTGTTTGTTTGTTTGTTTGTTTTGAGATGGAGTCTTGCTCTGTCGCCCAGGCTGGAGTGCAGTAGTGGGATCTCACCTCGTTGCAAGCTCCGCCTTGTGGGTACATGCCATTCTCCTGCCTCAGCCTCCTGAGTAGCTGGGATTACAGGCGCCCGCCACCACGCCTGGCTAATTTTTTGTATTTTTAGTAGAGACGGGATTTCACCGTGTTAGCCAGGATGGTCTCGATCTCCTGACCTCGTGATCTGCCCGCCTCGGCCTCTCAAAGTGCTGGGATTACAGGCATGAGCCAATAAATATTTTTATAATCATTAACTACCGAGGAGAAGCTGGAGAGAAAAAAGGTGGATGAAGTTAAGGCAGAGAGACTTTGTAAGTTTCTTGGCTGAGCTTTTGGAGACTGTATATCAGAGATCTTATTTGAGGTGATTTTCAGCTACAGAGATAGGCCTGGTCATTTGAAAAATAACGGATTAGGTGAAGCTTGCGTTTGAAATCCTCCTTCTACTTTTCATCTTTCTCTCTTGTTTATTCTGAGCATCCATCTTAGACACCCAGTCTTTGTCACTTTGTGGTTGTCATTGATTTCCCTGTTATTGAGATTAGAGGTTGGCAGACTTTCTCTGTAAAGGGCTGGAGAGAAAGTACTTCAGACTTTGTGGTCTGTGCGGTGTCTGTTGCAACCACTTAACTCTGCCCTGTAGAGCAAAAGCAGCCGTAGACAGTACATGGGCAGATGAGCATGGCTGGGGTCCAGTTACATTTACTTGCAAAAAGAGGGTTGGAGACTGGGTGCGATCTCCCACCTTTAATCCCGGCAATTTGGGAGGCCGAGGCAGGAGGATCACTTCAAGCCAGGACTTCAAGACCAGCCTGGGCAACAAAGCAAGACTCCATCTCTACAAAAAAATAAAAATTATTATAGCTAGGCATGGTGGTACACACCTGTAGTCCTAGCTACTCAGGAAGCTAAAACTGAGGCAGGAGGGTCAGTTGAGCCCAGGAGCACGAGGCTGTGGTGAGCTATTATTGTGCCAGTGCACTCCAGCCTGGTGACAGAGCAAGAACCGTCTCGTCAAAAAATAAACAAAAGGCTGGGCACGGTGGCTCACGCCTGTAATCCCTGCACTTTGGGAGACTGAGGTGGGCAGATCATGAGGTCAGGAGATTGAGACCATCCTGGCTAACACGGTGAAACCCTGTCTCTACTAAAAATACAAAAAGTTAGCCGGGCGTGGTGGCGGGCGCCTGTAGTCCCAGCCACTCGGGAGGCTGAGGAGGGAGAATCGTTTGAACCTGGGAGGCGGAGGTTGCAGTGAGCCAAGATTGTGCCACTGCACTCTAGCCTGGGCTACAGGGCAAGACTCCATTAAAAAAAAAAAAAAAAACCAGCAAAAACCAAACAAAACATAATGCATGTTCTCTCTTATAAATGGGAGCTAAACATGGGGACTCATTGACTTAAAGATGGCAACAACTGGGAACTGCTGGATGGGGAGGGAGGGGAGGGGTGAAAGGCCAACTGTTGGGGAGTATGCTCATATCCACGTGACAAACCTGCACATGTGCCCGCTGAATCTAAAATAAAAGTTGAAAGTAGATTTAAAAAACCCCAAGAGGGCTGGGTTTGGCTTGTGTGTCCATAGCTTGTTAACCTCCGCTTTAGATATTAAGGAATAGAAACATAGTGCTTATCTTCCCAGGCCACCTATTTTGTTCCTCTCCAAGGTGATGGATAGATGAAGGCCTAATCCAGCCGCCTGGAAGTTTGCTGACGCTTGTCCTGTCACGGATTAATGAAGCATTGTTTTCTGATGAAGCTTTCATGCCGCTGTGCTGATGTGTCTTCTCTTCTCTCTAGGCAGGAAACTGCATATCTTCTGGTTTACATGAAGATGGAGTGCTAATGGAAATGCCCAAAACCTTCAGAGATTGACACGCTGTCATTTTCCATTTCCGTTCCTGGATCTACGGAGTCTTCTAAGAGATTTTGCGATGAGGAGAAGCATTGTTTTCAAACTATATAACTGAGCCTTATTTATAATTAGGGATATTATCAAAATATGTAACCATGAGGCCCCTCAGGTCCTGATCAGTCAGAATGGATGCTTTCACCAGCAGACCCGGCCATGTGGCTGCTCGGTCCTGGGTGCTCGCTGCTGTGCGAGACATTAGCCCTTTAGTTATGAGCCTGTGGGAACTTCAGGGGTTCCCAGTGGGGAGAGCAGTGGCAGTGGGAGGCATCTGGGGGCCAAAGGTCAGTGGCAGGGGGTATTTCAGTATTATACAACTGCTGTGACCAGACTTGTATACTGGCTGAATATCAGTGCTGTTTGTAATTTTTCACTTTGAGAACCAACATTAATTCCATATGAATCAAGTGTTTTGTAACTGCTATTCATTTATTCAACAAATATTTATTGATCATCTCTTCTCCATAAGATAGTGTGATAAACACAGTCATGAATAAAGTTATTTTCCACAAAAGGACTTTGCAGTTTTAACGGGGGGCAGTAGGGCTTGTGCTATAGAAATTCAAAGGCAAGGGAAGTCACTTCTGTTGTGGGGCCCTGGGAGGAGCCTCCAGGCTGGAAAGGGTTAAGGTGGAGGTCTCCGATAGGGGCAGCATACACAGTGGACTGGCTGCAAAAGGCCGTGCTCAGCATTCAGACAGCATCACACACTCTGCTTTTCTCTACCAGGGAGGCAGGTGGGGAAGGATAGCGATGGGAAGGCAGGCGGAGCTCAGAATGTGGAAGGGGATCCAGTAAGGCTTGGAAGTTTGCACCTGATCTGGTGGGTGGTGAGGAGCCCTTGAAGGGGCAAGGAGGCGAGGAGCACTCAGCTGTGTTCTTACACTGATCTGCCACTGGGGTTAGAGACAAACATGGTGGGAATGGAAAGCCACGCACAGTCACTAGCGCCTCTGGGGGGAGAATGGATGTGGCTGGTGAGAGAACAGGGGGGCCCAGGGAGAGTCCGGCACCAACCTGGGTGGGGGAGCCCAGTGGGTGTGAGCACCCCCACTTTAGAGATGAAGTGATGGAGACATTCAGATGTTTAACCCCTTGTTCAAGATTCCATACTTGATAAATGGCAGATCAAACTCCCAACATAAAATGTGGGTCATTTCTTTATTATTTTATTTGTATTGGTTAACAATGATCAGCCATGCAAGAATAAATGATTATTGTAAAATCTGCAAACAATGTAGATATGTAGAGAATCCCTTCCTTGGAGCTTGACCTTGTCAGACAGGTATAGATGAGTGTTCCGGGGCAGCCGTAAAAACTGCCAGAGACTGGGCTGCTTATAACAGAAACGCATGGTCTCCCAGAAGCCCACATTCAAGGTGTCCAAAGGCCTGGCTCCTGGAGGCTCTGGAGGAGAGCCTGTTCCCTGTCTCTCAGCTTCTGCCGGTTGCCAGCAAGTGTTGCCGTTCATTCACTCCAGCCACTGCCTCCATCTGCACACAGCAAAACAGCATATCCTGAAGTGCTCAGCCTTATAGCCATTATTTTAAAATATCTGGAACACACAGGACCGTGGGAGTGGCTGTTGGAGAAATTTTCATGAAGGAAGAAAGATTACAACTAAGTTTTAAAATGCTAGTTTTGTTTGTTTTGTCTTGGAGAGGAGGTAAAAGTGGGAGTAAAAATAGGGAGTTTGGTGTAAGGTGGGAAAAGCAAAGGAACCCCGCATGGATGGGCTGAAGGGTGTGATGGGAGAACAGTGAGAAGTACGTTTGGGGAAGCAATTGGAAATAGTAGCTAAGCTTAATCACAATCTATCAAAAGGGACTTGTTGAAGAATTAATGTGTGACTAGGAACAGGGAGGTTATGGGCTTGTCAGCTCGACAGTGGGCACTCAGTTCCACTAACGAATGATGCCCGTGTGGACAGACAGAATGATGGACAGGCAGATGAATGCATGGGCTTTATGTGAAACAGGTCCTCTTGGTTGTTGACAAGATACTGTTTTAAAGTTCCATTTTGCCATACTTCGAACGGCTTGTCATTAGCTCAATTTAGCCACATGTAAAATCACTAAGGCGGACTTCCAGAGTTCCCACATGAAAATCAAATGTAAACCAGCAGTGACCTGCTTCAACACCATCATCGGAAGTCAGAAGTTGA
Organism: Homo sapiens; assembly: GCF_000001405.40. NCBI lineage: Eukaryota > Metazoa > Chordata > Mammalia > Primates > Hominidae > Homo > Homo sapiens. The sequence goes on along the minus strand of NC_000022.11, from coordinate 18,499,573 downwards.
ACTCTTTTTTGATGTTTAAAGCCTGCATAATATTCGCTGTATTATTATTCAGCATATTACTATTTCCTTCGTGATGGAAATTTGATTTATCCCAATTTTCTATTCTATCAAAACACCGCTACATAGAAAATCCCCATGCACATATTTCTCCTAATTGTGGAAATATTTTACATAAAAGACTCTAGACATGGGATGAAATTCCCAGGTTATTGGAATTTTAAAATAGATAGGTACTTCCAAATTGACCTCTTACAAATTATATGAATTCGTAAGCTTCCAACTGTTATGGAGTTACCCATTTTGAGAAATCTGTGCTAAAAGGACCCAAACAATGCTGATGACAATGATCAGGATAATAAGTATGCTGGGAAGACAACAAAATGATTTAGATCTTAGACAAGTCATTCTAGGTGTCTCCACTGTTTCAGTTCTTGCATTCGTTCATTCTTGTGCTTTTTCGTTTTACCAAATAAAATAGCTCCTTGATGTCATATGAATCCATGCTATGCTTAATGAGTATTGGTTAGTAAAATGCCTATAACTAGTAATCTTCATCTATGCAATTAAATATTAATTCATAAAACACTTCAAATGTAAACAATAATTTGTAAATGAAAAGTACATAATACCTCAATTAGAAAAAAATCACTCCATTAAAAAGACATTATTTGTGTGATAAAAGAGATTGCCATTTTTGTATTTTTCTACAAGGTTAAAGAAAACTAAGTCAACTTATACAAGTGAATTTTAAAAGACTTTAGGGCAGGCGTGGTGGCTCACGCCTGTAATCCCAGCACTTTAAGAGGCCGAGGAGGGCAGATCACCTGAGGTCAGGAGTTCGAAACCAGCCTGACCAACATGGTGAAATCTCATTTCTACTAAAAATACAAAAAAATTAGCCCAGTGTGGTGGCATGTGCCTATAATCTCAGCTACTTGGGAGGCTGAGACAGGAGAATAGTTTGAACCTGGGAGGCGGAGGTTGCAATGAACCAGGATCGCACCATTGCACTCCAGCTTGGGCAACAAGAGTGAAACTCCATCTCAAAAATAAATAAATAAATAAATAAAATAAATAAAAGCCTTTAACCCAGAATGCTGAGTAAATTGGCCAAAAATGCTAACCTATGCATTTCAATACTATAGGAGTTGCATGGGTAGAAATAACCAGATGAAATACTTCTGGTATTTCACCTTCCCAACCCACACGAGCCAGTGTTTTTCTGTGAATAACAAAAACAGCAGAATTTACTTGCCTCTCCATAAGAGGTTACCACTTCTGTGTGTTCCCCCGAAACAGGTGGTGGCTGGGTGAGAAGGTGGACAGCACTAGGGCAAGAGATGGGGGCTCCAGTATCGTGGGTGAGCTTCCTAAACCTCTGCAACTTTCAGCCCCTAAATGGGATGAGCCATTAGAATTTTTAGTACAATGCCCAGAACAAAGTAAGGATTTGACAAATGACGCCTCTCTCCACATTGTTCTGTCATCAGCCACCGCATCCTGTACCTCCAAGCCCACTGGGCTCCGGCTGTTTCCATCACATGGAGAATGACTCAGAGCCTGGCCTCCAGCCACCCTCCTGGCCTTTCTTCTTCTCACTCTGCCACTGGCTCCTCATGGACCACCAGCCTGGGTGTCCTCAGACATACCACACACTTCACTGTGGGAGTCACGCAGCCCTCACTGCTCCTTCGCCAGGGAGCCACGGGGCTTTCCTCCTCAGGAGGACTCTGCAAGCAGCTGGATGAAGGGCCCTCCCGTCTCTCATCCTTCCTTAATTTTTGTCACAGTTCTCCTTCCTTCCACTCAGTGCAGCGCACACTGATTGATCCTCCATCTTCCCCAAAAGACAGGAACAGCATGAGCAGTGGAGAGTAGATTCCAATGATAGAAAAAATAGTCAGTGATTTCTCATTTCCATTGATCATCAATGAAGAAAATGTATCCTGAAGGTCATGTACCTCCTATGGGACTGCTGCATCCTCAGCCTCCTGAATTTCAGCCCAGCACCTTCCTCCCCAGCACAGCAACAGGTCAGCCCTTACCAGCATCCCTCTCTTATTGCCTTTGTGCAGAGCCAGCACCAGGGCCAGGGGAGGCCTTGGGATTGTCCCTCCCCAACAATCTGTGAAACAATCCTTTATGTCACCAACAAAGCACAGCCTTATGCACTGGTGGTCAGTCCCTCTCAACACCTCTGTCACTGTAAAGCTGGCAGGCAACCCTCCAAGGTTGGCCTTCCCAAGCACTGCACCTCTAGGTGACAGAGCACGTCCTTACCTTGAAGCCTGGGCGCCCAGTCTATCCTGTCCAATGAGCGAGCTGTGGAGAAGGGGGGATTCCGGGTTAAGGGGAGACTAGCAGGGCTCCTGCTTTTATGTTGCCCTGTTGGGAAGGCTATTAAAGAAACACAAAGTGCTAAGCAGTGAGGATAGAACATGTTTTCATTATTTCAACCAATACATTCCACAGATGGAATAATAAGAAATGCTACAACCAAGCTAACTGAATCCAACAGCATATCAAAAAGATAATCCACCATGATTCAAGTGGGTTTCATACTAGGGATGCAGGGATGGTTTAACATACGCAAGTCAATAAATGTGATACATCACATCAATAAAACTAAAAACAAAAATCACATGATAATCTGAATAGATGCAGAAAAAGCCTTTGACAAAATCCAGCATTTCTTTATGATTAAAACCGTTCGTCAAAATCAGCATAGAACGGACATACCTTAAGGTAATAAAAGCTATCTATGACAAACCCACAGCCAACATTTTCCTGAATGGGGGAGAGTTGAAAGCATTCCCCCTGAGGAAGGGAACAAGACAAAGATGCCCACGTTCACCGCTTCTCAACACAGTGCTGTTCACTACAGCATTGGTTATAAGAGCAAGACTGGAAACAGAACAAACGGATACCCATAGCGGGGTGCTTAAGTAATTTTGGGAATAGTCATGGGGTGCAGTACTTTATAGCTCTGAAACAATACAATGGATTTACATTTGAAATGTGGAATGATAACTAAGGTGCATTGCCCAGTGATATATGCAGAGGTGCAGAGGACTTTGTGTAAACACGATCACACATCAGCCTGCATTCCAGGTGCATGCTTCTATTTGCACATAGATTGCAGGGATGATATGCAAACAAAAACGTTGACTTGGTGTTTGGAAGTTCAGAGTGGAAGGGAAACTTCCTTGCTAACCTTTTATGATATTTAGAGTTTCTAAATGTGAATACGTAATACATTTAGAAATCTTAGTTAATAAGAAAAGCCTCTGTTCCTGGCCTCTTGCTGGCACATGTCAGGTGGAAATGGGGCTGTCATGCTAATGTGTGCAAACTGAGAAAAATCCAAGAATGGGAGTCTGCTTTTTTCATCATACAAATAATTGTTAATAGAAACAGTATGATAATTGCTCATTGATATACCATGCATATTCTATTAGATAATAATAAATTTCTGAAATTTGAACTATACTTACACATGGAAATTGAAATATATGGATGAAACATTGTGGCTTATAGAGGCAATTGTTTTATTGGCATTTGACAAACTGATCATCATTCCTCATGGCACGGGTCCATGTGATATTAAGTAGCTTGTTATGCTTGGGAAAGGCAGTGATGACCACAAGAATGACTTCAACTACTAAAGTACAATGGAGATTTCAACAATGTTTTGTTTAATATTTAAATATTTCATTGTGCTCCCAGGCTTTTTCTCACCCTAATAGCTCTCATCCATATCATGTGGGTCCCATTAATACAGATACCTCCGAATGCACCACTCTTCCATTATATCCAGTCAATTGCTGGTTACCTTGGGCCTACAACTGGGGGAGGGCAGGGGCTGCTGGCCACCTCCTCATCTACAGTAAGAGTCAATGAGCAGTTAAGTGGATACTGAAAACCATTTATCCTGCTGGAGTGAGAAATAAATGGTTTCTTTCAATAGCGTAGTAAAATGCATCTTTTCCAAACTATTTATATGACTCAAGGCCCATCTCAATTTCAGATGTGGTTAGCCTCAATTCCTGATTCTCACCAAGGTGTGTAATGTCATCCACGGCCCAGTGCAGAGGAACACAGGTGCTGCCGTCAGACTGCCAGGGTCCGATCCCGCCTCCTCACTCACCCCGGGAGATCCCTTTAAGCCAGGAGTCAACAGTGAGGATGGAAACATGAGTGCTTTTTAAAGTCCTGAAAGTTCAGAGGCAGACTGTCAATTTCTCCTCCACCCCTGGGCACACACCAGGAGAACTCTGTCTCCAGGTTGAAGGAAGTGCCTGTGAGAGAGTTGTGTCCCTCAGATTCTGTTCACCACAGGTGACACTCGATGCAACCCCAAACCTCTTCTGCACAATCCCAAGGGGTGCTGACTAATCCAACCCAAAGGCTGTGATGTTTGGCAGAGGCAGAAAAGAAAAGGCCAGGTGTTCTGGGAAAGACCACCTTTAAATATCACAGCACCCTCATAGCCCAGAGAGACAGTTCTAACTATTATGCCAATAAACCCGGAAAAGACCAAATCCAATATGACACATATTTCCTGTTTCCTTTTGATTTCATGCCCCCTCCCTTAACCTCCCAAGCAGCATGGATACCCCGAAGGCCCCTGGGAACTCTCTCCAATTGGATCTTACGTGGAAAGTAGTTACCTACCTACAAATCCCCATCATCAGATATGCTCTCCACAATCAAATCTTTAGAAACACAAACACCAGGATAAGTCATTAGAGAGAGGCCCACCCACTCCTCCCACCCTAGCTGAAGCCATGGTGCTTCGCACAGGATCCCCTGGTGTTTCCTCTGGGCTCACAGATATCCCTACAGCCTCTCTGGACATTGTTTTATACTTGCAAAATCATTTGCTCTCACCAGACTCCAAATCCTCCTTCCCAAAAGGAGCCCAGAATCAGGTTTCTGTACCCTAGAGATGGCGTTTTTTCCTCAGGAAGTGAGTTATTTCAGGGTAGGTATCATTCTCCAGTGTCAATGGCTCCTGCAATTATAGAAAAGAAAACATTAGGAGGGTGAAATGATGCCATACACGTCACACAGATCTGATAGTCTCTCGACAACTTGAGAGAGAAAATAAGAAGGGGTATAGTGATTGAGTCAAAGGTCAAAGTCCCCCAAAACTGGCACGGAAGACACCTGTGGAAAAGACAAGACCTTTTCCCACAGAATTTATCTTTAAAGTGTATCTAGATTGGCAGTTTCACAACTCTTAATCCATGGGGGAAAACTGCTGTGGAGGGAAACACCTCTGCATTGCAGTGGATCGTGGATGCTGCCATCTACCACACCCCAGTGTGCCTGGCATGGGTTGGTGAGAGGCCGCCAATCAATAGCACCACACCAAGGGAATTGCAGATGTCATAAATAGTCCACATTGGCAGATGTTCATGTCTACATTTGATTAAACTGCAGATGACATCGATAATGCACACTGGCAGATGTTCATGTCTACATCTGATTGGAAAGAAGCCAGGAAAGTAACATTTCTGTTCAAGACAAAGAAAAGTGTCTTACATTGGCAGCATCTTCTTTTTTACAGATGTCTTGTACAGTGTCCTCATTAGCAATGTCATATACAGCGTCCTTATTAGCGAATTCGTATACAGCATCCTCATTAGCGATGCCATATACAGCGTCCTCATTAGCGATGTTGTATACAGCGTCCTCATTAGTGATGTCGTATAGAGCGTCCTCATTAGCGATGTCATATACAATGTCCTCATTAGCGATGTCATATACAGCAACCTCATTCGCTATGTCTTGTAAAGCATCCTCATTAGCGATGTCATATACAACGTCCTCATTAGCGATGTCGTATACAGCGTCCTCGTTAGCGATGTCTTGTACGGTGTCCTTATAAGCAATGTCGTCTACAGCGTCCTCGTTAGCATGCCTTGTGGGTGTCATTAGCGATGTCATATAGAGCATCCTCATTGGTGATGTCTTATATGGTGTCCTCATTAGCGATGTTGTGTACAGCGTCCTCGTTAGCAATGCCTTGTACAGTGTCCTCGTTAGCAATGTCATATACAGTGTCCTCATTAGCGATGGCTTGTACACTGTCCTCATTAGCGATGTTGTGTACAGCATCCTTGTTAGCGTGCCTCGTACGGTGTCATTAGCGATGTCGTATACAGCGTCATAATTAGCGATGTCTTATACGGTGTCATCATTAGTGATGTTGTGTACAGCGTCATCGTTAGCGATGCCTTGTATGGTGTCCTCATTAGCGATGTCGTATACAGCGTGCTCACTAGCGATGTCTTTTTTTTTTATATATACTTTAAGTTTTAGGGTACATGTGCACATTGTGCAGGTTAGTTACATATGTATACATGTGCCACGCTGGTGCGCTGCACCCACTAACTCATCATCTAGCATTAGGTATATCTCCCGATGCTATCCCTCCCCCCTCCCCCCACCCCACAACAGTCCCCAGAATGTGATATTCCCCTTCCTGTGTCCATGTGATCTCATTGTTCAATTCCCACCTATGAGTGAGAATATGCGGTGTTTGGTTTTTTGTTCTTGCGATAGTTACTAGCGATGTCTTATACGGTGTCCTCATTAGCAATGTCGTGTACAGCGTCCACGTTAGCGTGCCTTGTCGGTATCATTAGCAATGTCGTATAAAGCGCCCTCATTGGTGATGTCTTGTACGGTGCCGTCATTAGCGATGTTGTGTACAGTGTCCTTGTTAGCGACGGCTTGTATGGTGTCCTCGTTAGCGATGTCGTATACAGCGTCCTCATTACCGATGCCTTGTATGGTGTCCTCATTAGCGATGTCGTGTACAGCGTCCTCGTTAGCGTGCCTTGTACGGTGTCATTAGCGATGTCATATACGGCACCCTCATTAGCGATGTGGTATACGGAGTCCTCATTAGCGATGTCGTGTACAGTGTCCGCGTTAGCGTGCCTTGTCGGTATCATTAGCAATGTCGTATAAAGCGCCCTCATTGGTGATGTCTTGTACGGTGCCGTCATTAGCGATGTTGTGTACAGTGTCCTTGTTAGCGACGGCTTGTAGAGTGTCCTTGTTAGCGATGTCATATACAACGTCCTCATTACCAATGCCTTGTATGGTGTCCTCATTAGCGATGTCGTGTACAGCGTCCTCTTTAGCGTGCCTTGTACGGTGTCATTAGCGATGTCATATATGGCATCCTCATTAGCGATGTCGTATACGGAGTCCTCATTAGCGATGCCGTGCACGGCATCCTCGTTAGCAATGCCGTGGGCAGCGTCCTCGTTGGCGATGCCGTGGGCGGCGTCCTCGTTGGCGATGCCCTGGACGGCGTCCTCGTTGGCGATGCCCTGGGCGGCGTCCTCGTTGGCGATGCCCTGGGCGGCGACCTCGTTGGCGATGCCCTGGGCGGCGTCCTCGCTGGCGATTCCGTGGGCGGCGTCCTCGTTGGCGATGCCCTGGGCGGCGTCCTCGTTGGCGTTGCCCTTGTCGGCGGCCTCGTTAGCGATGCCGTGGACAGCGTCCTCGTTAGTGATATCGTGTGAGGCATCCTCGTTAGTGATGTTGTGTACGGTGTCCTCATGGGGAGCTAGAAGAACACAGAGTTAAGGTCAGTGCCCTGGTAGTGGAGACTGTGAATCACCCAGGGGCTTGCTTGGTGTGGTGCATGGAGGTGGCTGATCACAGCATGGGCCAAGCTGATGCTGGGACATCCTCCCAGGTGGACCTGCACTAGTGAAGCTAAGGGATGTGGCTCAGAACACTTTCTGCAGTGGGCATCAGTTTCCAGGTTCAGGTATGCATTATCCAGTGAAGTGGGGAAATATAAAAAATAAAAATTGACAAATTCATGAAAAGCCTTCCATGAGTGCAAGTGTGAGTTTTTTATCCACTTTACATTCAGTATGCATTCACACATACAAAATATTTTTACAAGAAATCAGAAATTTTAATTTTTGTCAGTTATGTGAAATCTAACTTAGCTGCCAACATAAGGATTCTATCTCATTTACTTGGTCTCGAGAAAATCTAGCACATAGTAAGTAGACCAAAATGTTTATTAAATGAAAACACAGAGCAGAGATAGGGGGGCTGCTAGGCAGACTGGGTTGCACCTGATTACCTGGATGATAATTAACTGCACAAAACCTCGGTCAAATTAATATTGAAACTGCCTTTTGCTTGGGCTCGTTTCCCTTGTGGAAGAAGGATGACCAAGGAGATGAACAGGAAAGAAATGAGAAACAGAGGCCTTTGCTTAGTAGCTAAAGGCCACCTTCTATAACACGAAATAGTCTACAAGCGGCCTTGAACTCTGCCGTGATTTAGTGACAGAGTTCCCTCGTGTCTTCTACCCAGGTTGAAGTCCAGCAAAATTGCGACTGTCCTCTTTACAACTTGCGAGACCACACTGCTTCTGCATTTGCCTGTTGTATGTATGAGATTTACACTTGTTTTAAAGCAACATTTTGTTTCAGTTGGGCTGGTGGCCATACCCGGCACTAGCCAGTCAATAGTGAGATGGCTCCTCATGGAGGAGGCTTGGCTTGAGGCTGAGGGTCTTTAACCCACATATACAAGAGAGTTGCCACTAAGGGATGGAAGCCAGGCTAATAACCAAGTGCCACACAGAGTTCCTATCTGTCCCTCCTCACCATTTTTGGCTGGCAGGATTTGAGCATTTTAGGGCTTGGGAAGATAGTATTACTAAATCTACTAAAATACATCACCCATCCTTATAGACTTTGGCCAGTTGCTGAGCAAATTAACTTCACAACTGAAGTGGGCCACACTGGCCTTTGTGGTCCCCCACTCCTCTTAGAATTTGTGAGCGTGGGGCCTACTGGAGGGTGGGAGGTGGGAGGAGGGGGTGGATCAGGAAAAATAACTGATATTAGGCTCAATATATGGGTGATGCAATAATCTGTACAACAAACTCTCATGACACACATTTATATATGTAGCAAACCTGCACATCCTGCACATGTACCCCTGAACTTAAAAGTTAAAAAAAAAAAAAAAAAGGATCGGTGAGCTGAGCCAAACACCTGGGGATCTTTGTGCTTTTGACACACTGATGACTATGCCTGTCCGTGGGGAGATGAACCTATAACTGCCCTGGGTTGTGTGACCACGGAGACCACTTTATGATGATGGGCAGTGCCTGGGGCCTTTTGGGCTCGGTGCCTTAGGGTTTATACATGAATGCTGGACTCCCTGTGTGGTGGTGAACACCCCATGACTAAGTGCATGTCAGCGTCAGCACTGGCCCACACTCCTGGGTTCGTGTTTTCACTTTTTCATTCAGGAACTCGGGAGCTGGGGCCACTCCCTTGGCCCTTCAGGTTCTCCACCTGAGCAGTGGGGATAATAAGGCAGACCCGGGGATGGCTCTGGTGAGGGTGGAGGAGTCACTGTACAGAGAGAGTAGAGCGGGGGTGGATTTTATTGTTAGAAGTGGACACTGGTGATTGGGTTGTATAAGTGGGAAATCTCTCCTGAGAAAACACACAGCCTCACCTGTACAGAAACACACACATTCACACCACACGATGCAGCCTCACACAAGACACCACCAATCCTCAAGCACCCAACTCAGCACCACCCAAAAGGGAGCACAGCTGCTTCCTCAAAATTTGGCCATAATTTTTCCCTGGGGAATTCAGGTTTTAAAAAAACACTTCCCCTATACTTATTCCTATCACAATCCCAGGATCAGGGTGGCTCTTCACATTGAAACCAGGCAAGGATGCCACACCTTTCTTGGCATCCAGATTGTTTTCTTGGTAAGTGATTCCAGAATACTTACTAGATTCATGCCTCAGAGGGGCCACCTGCACCACCTGCAATACAGAAACAAAGCTTTTTGAGGGGTATGTCATGTTGTGGATTGTTTGCACAAGGCTGTGTTTCTCTCAATGAATATTGAAAACTTGATCAGAAAGTGTAGTCAACTTCAAGGCCTCCAAAACAAGGGTAGGATACACACTGGAAAAGACATCAGCTTCTGGATGGTGGATCTCTCAGGTCCACGTAGGTTGGCAAGTGCAAAATACTGAATCCAAGGAGAAGACATTGCTTCCAAGGACAAGGACCCCAAGGATACAGTCTACAACCTGAAGCCATCATAGCTAAATGCCATTTTGTATTACATATCAGTTGCTAAGAGTCACTTCTTCCTCCCCCTCAGAAAACTGCATTTAATACCTGTCATGGACATTGTCATCTTTTCACATGTAAAGTCAGTTGAAAAAGAAAGACAACAAGAAAGGAACATTTCTATTTCAGAGAAAGCAAGGCAACCTTACCCTCACGTTGACTGGCCTCTCTCCATCTCCTCTGTCCTTGTGAACTAGAGACTCCTCAGAGGCTAGGAGGACACAGAGCAACAGTTAGTCATAGATGCTTTTGTTCATGAGTTATTCAGGGAGCTCTGCTTAATGTGGACAACAGGACAGTGTGTGTGGATGTGTTTCATTAAAAGCACAGCTTGAGCTCCTGCTAGAAAATCCTCCCTCGTGGAAAGACAGGCAAGAACGAGGAGCTAAGGAGCAAGAAATAGAGTCCCTGGCATTTTGCTGATGGCAACTTAAGGCAATGGGAATGAGTCAGTCTACAAATGGTACTGAAGCACATGCTATAGTTTGATGAGAGTCCCACTGCTCACACTGTGAGGTTTGAAACCCAGCTAAATGGTTTTCTAAACCTGTAAAAACAATATTACTTGCAGGATTTATGTCCCAAGACTACTTTTACCTCTGAGGATCCACAGTGGCTGTCACTGCAGTTATTATGTGTTTTAGCATTTTGCACTTGAATAAAAGCAAAGTTTAATAGACAGGTTGGATTCAATTCTAGGCAAAACAGTCTATGGTATTTATTCACTAATCCTTTGTTATAACTGCTGATGGGAGAATTAGAAGTACTGAAATTATATCCTTTAAAATTAATTAAAGCATAATTATTAATCACACAGTATTTTTTCATCCAGGCCTCCTTTTCTTTGTCATGCATGCATATTAATTGAGGATGGAGAATATCTACGCTTGTTCAGGCCAGCCAACATACGACAGTTTACTTCAAGACAGGAGACATGGGTTGAATGCTGGTATGTTTTAACTCTGCAGTGCAAACAGTTGCAACAAGTGTGGTGAACTAATCACCAGATGGCCCTTTGCTGCCTTATTTGTCATTGTGCCTTACATGTAGCTTGCAGGATTTGATTACGCTTATGTTTTGTGGTGATCATACTTTCAACTATTCCTAAAATACTGCTTCAGTCTTATCTGTTTGGGGTCAACTGCTGAGGATTTCATACAAATTAATGAAGTTTGTGAATCTAAAGTTCTACACAAAGGGGGAAATATTTGCAAATCATTTATCTTGTAAGAGACTAAAATTTAGAATATTTTTAAATATATTTAAGATATATTCAAAAATCTACAGCAACAAACTAACTAAATAAAAATCAGACAACTCTTTAAAAATGGGCAAAAGACTTCAACATATATTTCCCTAAAGAAGATACAGCCACAGATAGTAGCACAGGAAAAGCTGCTCAGGATCATTAGTCATTAGGGAAATGCAAATGAAAAACACAAGCAGCCACCAATATACACCTACTAGGATGATTTAAAGGAAAATAAGTGTGAACAAGGACGTAAAGAAATTGTAACCCTGATACATTGATGGTAGAAATGGATAAAGTTGCAGCCACTGTGAAAAACAGTCTGCAGTGGCTCAGAAGGTTAAATATAGAACCCCTGTTGGACCCAGGAACTCTACTCTTAGGCACCCCAAAGAATAGAGAACAGAAATCAAACAGATGTTTGTATACTAATGTTTGTAGCATCACTTTTCACAGGAGCCAAAAGGTGGAAATAATCCAACCATCAGTGAACAAATGAATGTAATAAAAGCAAGGTGGTCTGCATGCAATGCTACATCATCCATCTGTAAAAAACGAACATCATTTTGATAGATGATACAACATGGGTGGACATTGAGAACATTATGCTTAGTGAAATAAGCCAGACACAAAAGGAATATATTGTATAATTGTAATTACATGAAGTGCCTAGAATAGTCAAATTCATACAAGAGAAAGTCGGATAGGAATCACCATGGGCTGGAAATAGGGGGAAGGTGCTATATTGCTTATTGTGGACAAGGTTTTGTAAGAAATCATCAAAATTGTGGGTGTAGATAGTGGTGTTGGTTATGCAACCCTGTGAATATATTGAATGCCACGGAGTGCACACTTTGGTTAAAAGGTTCAAATGATAAATAATGTGTTACATATATTTCCCCACGATAGAAAACATGCACAGCCAAGCCCAGATGCCAGTCTTGTTAGCTGCCTTCCTTTACCTTCAAGAGTGGGCTGAAGCTTGTCCAATCTTTCAAGGTTGCTGAAGACTGTATGATGGAAGTCATCTGCATTGGGAAAGAAATTAATGGAGAGAGGAGAAAACTTGAGAATCCACACTACTCACCCTGCAGGGCCAAGAACTCTGTCTCCCATGCATTGCTGACCCATCTCAGTATTTCCTGTGACCACCTCCTTTTTCAACTGAAGACTTTGCACCTGAAGGTGTTCCCAGGTTTTTCACCTCGGCCCTTGTCAGGACTGATCCTCTCAACTACTGACCATTTCACCTCCATTCATGTCCATGCCACATCAGGCTGTGTTGTCTAGATGGCATGAATCTACCCCAAATGTCCCTTTCTGGAGGAAGCCACCATTATGCTGTACCTCCAAGCATAATGATACGTCCACACACACCAAGGCACCTCACTCATGCAAGGTGTGTGTCCTCTAACAAAGTTTCACGCTCTAAACCCAGATAACTTTTGAAACCCAAGTTCTGTTGATTCCCCTACTTTGGGTGCTCCATAGATGCTCATTTGTCTACTAAACACTGCCCCAGGCAATTAAATATTCCAAAGTGACCAGCAGAATTTTTATGTTAATTCTGACATTGCATTGTTAGTACAAGTGTTTTTCCCCCTTCAAATTTATGTCTTTGTTACTGATAAATGTAACTGATAATGCTTTTTTCAGCTATGTTGCCAAGCATATTTATATAAAAATATACTCAGATTGTTTTCAGAATTTGACAAAGATGATAGCAACAACGATAATCTCATTTGTCTTATACTAATCTTTATGTGTTACTTTCATCATTTCTTACATATTGGGGCCTACCATACATTGTACGGTGAAATTAGTGCTATGCATCATGGTAGGAATATAAATTGGCAAAAGTAATTTAGAAAATAGTTCCCTTCTTTCTTAAAAAAATTAGGCTGGGTGTGGTGGCTCATGCCTATAATCCCAGCACTTTGGGAGGCAGAGGTGGGTGGATCACCTGAGGCTAGGAGTTTGAGACTAGCCTGACCAACACAGCAAAATCCTGTCTCTACTGAAAATACAAAAATTATCCAGGCGTGGTGGTGTGTGCCAGTTGTCCCAGCTACTCGGGAGGTTGAGGCATGAGAATTGCTTAAACCTGGGAGATGGAGGTTCCAGTGACCCGAGATTGTGCCACTGCACTCCAGCCTGGGTCTCAGAAAAAAAAAAATTTTTTTTGACCAAAATGTCATTATGCATTACATGACTGTATGTGAATGCTCAAAGCTACATTACTCATCAAAGAAAATAACAAAACAATTAAATGTCCATTAACTGATAAATGAATAAACACTATTTGTATGAATAAACACAGCAGACTATGAAGGAAAACACATGACCAGCACGTGCTAACACGTCAATTAACTTCAAACATAGTATGCTAAATGAAGGAAGTCAGATTCCAAATATATATATATGTCCATTTCTATAAAGCAAGTGGGAAATTTATGGAGATGGAATGTCACAGCAGTATTGCTTAGGGCTGGAGATGGGAGTGGGGATTAACTGCCAGTGCGCAAGACAGAACTTGGGTGAGGGAAACATATTTAAATTAGATCGTGGTGTTGGGTGCACACAGTATCAATTTAATAAAGCATCAAATTGTAGACCTTTTCAGTGGGCAAACTTTATGGTGGGTTCACACCCAATATAGGTGTTAAAAATAATGTTACGGAAATTCTTGTCGGGTTTTTAACAAGCCAAGAGATATGCTGTGAAAGCAGCATTAATTCAAGTGGTTGTAACAGGTCACTTAAAGTTAATCAGATAGTTGTCCTACAAATATAGGGTGAATGTTATTCATGAATTTCCTGAATCTATTGCAATAATCACATTTTTTTCCATTAAACTCTTGAGGTAGCTAATTTTATTTATTGCATTTTCAATGTTAATCTACTATTTCATATTTTGAGATTAACTCACATTAGTCAGAATTTAAAGTATTTTAAAATATCACAGAATTTAATTTACCTTATCTGGTTTTGGTTTCAAGACTATACTAGCCATTTCATTTAATTGTACATGTAGGGTATTCTAATTTATGGAAAACTATTACATTTTCCTTGATTTTTTTTTTTTTAGAAATTACTTCTAGGGATCTATATGGTAGAGTCCATGGAGAATTGTTTTAATTCTTCATTCATGTCTTCAGTGGGTATAGGATTGGTCATATTGGTCATAGTTTTCTGCTCGGATTTCAATAAGAAACTTGTGGAAGAACCTGAAGGGTGGGATCTTTGAGGGAGCCTAAGACAGAGCAAGACAAGCTAAGAAGGAGGGCAGTGCCACAGCAGAACTGCCGTTGATGCCCCCTCGCCTAGATTGCGGAAGAGACATCCAGCTGTAGACACTGAGGTGCAGGAAAACAATGGAGCACCATCAGAGAAAGCAGTGCCCAGGAACAAGGAGGCACTGATGGTGGCAAGGGGCAAAGACAGCTGCCACGAGGCTGTTCACATGAGGGTCTCAGGCTGCATAGACACCCACACCAGCTGAGGGGTCCTGGTTTTCATAAAGTGTGTGGCTCAGCCAGGCCACCAACAAGCAGTTCACAAACAGTAGTAATACGACACTTTCCAAAGACCTTACTTGAGTAACACGGTGATCCTCACAAATTTCCAATCAGGATGGTCGCACAGTTCCTCCTGCTTTAGGACTCAGAGCCTGCCCGTGGTCACAGTGGGTAGGTGCAGACTCTGAAGATGCACTTTGGTCAGAGACCCTGCTGAACTCTGTCTAATGAGGACCTCTGTCCTGTCTGCTGACCACCGGTCAGAGGTGCAGGCTGCAGTGGGGAGTAAGAATGCCACCTTCTCAATGTTGGGAAAACTCCCTGCCAGAACTGAGAATGGCCCTTTCTAAGCAGAAGGCAAGCTCAGACTAAAGAAGGAGGCCGAACACATCAGGTTGGCAGATTGCCAAAGATTCACTCAGGGAGAGCCCACATCCTGGGCCATCTTGGGTGGTGGCAAGATGAGGTAGACGACTGCTTTTGCAACACATACCTGACAACAAAAAATCAACAACTGTAAAAGAGCCACAAAATCCCCAAATATTTGCAAATTAGCAATGCACTTTTAAATAACTCATGGGTTAAGAAGTCTCAATAGAAAATTAAAAATACTTTTAACTACATTAAAAGAAAATGTGACTTGGCAAGATTTCTGGATGTAGCAAAAGCAGTCCTTAGAGGGAAATCTACAGCATTGGATGCAATATACTAAAAATCACAAGACCTAAAATCAGTAATATCATGTTTCAATTAGGGAACTATAGAAAATAGAGGAATGCAATGGAAAGCAAGTAAAAGTAATAAACAACATCACAGAAATCAATAAAATTAAAACACTGAAATCATCAGAAAATCAATAAAACCAAAAGCTGGTTCTTTGATATGCTCATTACAATGAATGAATTGATATGCAGGCTAACCAAGAAAAAGAAGATAACACAAATGACCAATTTCAGAAATAAAAGAGGAGCCATCTCTACTGAACTGTTAGGCATTAAAAGGAATATCATGAACAGTTCTATGACCGCAGTCTGATAACCTCAGTGAAATGTATCAATTCCTTGAAAGGCAATCTTCCCAAGGTCACGCTAGAATCCTAATGTGAATAAACTTATGTCTATTAAATAAGTTGAATT